>NW_003315968.2:0-201197 GCF_000001405.40 Homo sapiens | reverse complement strand
ATACCATGGTACAACCTATTATTTCTGCTTACCAGTGAGGTATTATTGTGTGCATTAACAATTCCTTAAAAATACGGAAGAGTTAGTGTCATGAAATTATGAACAAAGCAATGCAGGTTCAAGTTATGGAGAAGAGATTTATCAAATTCTGAACAGAATTGAGAAATGTATCAATATTTAAAGAATGGGACCATTGACAGACGACACATGTAACGTGAACATTGGCTATTATTCTCTTTTAACGTGATTTTGCATGCAGTGAAACTTCAAGAAGCTTGAAGCAGAAAGAAAATACACGATGATGTAACTGAGGTGAGTGATAACATATATAAAAACAGGAGAGCACCTCTGTAGCATTTCCTAGAGATAATAAACTTTGTGAACCAAAGAGCTTCTAATGAAGAAATGAAATAGAGAAACTTGAATATATCAATGTGAGCATCGCTTTATTGATATTCAAGAGTGAAGAAGCCTTGAAATATTTGCAAATGAGTGAAAGTACAGATTAACTTGTAGAAGAAAAGATTTTGTAATTCTGAAGCTGTTTCTTACAGTGATCACAACCTCCTGTTGCAGATGTTGTCCTTATTTCACATCAAGATAAGAATGAAGAAAATTATAAGGCCTCCCCTATGTTATGTTATAACATAATTGAGAAGGCCCCCTGTGTTATGTTATGTTGCCATGCTATGCTATGCTATGCTATGCTATGCTATGCTATGCTATGCTATGCTATGCTATGTTATGTTATGTTATGTTATGTTATGTTATAACATAACATAGGTGGGGCCTTCTCAATTCCATGATTGCTAGATCTGTCACTCACTAAGATGTAATCACAGTAAAATCAGCTTAGTGTTGACAGTCTCAGGTTCTCAGCCTGTGAAATGGGGCTAAGGAACCTACCTCATAAATTTGTCATAAAGAACAACATGGCAGTGTGTATAAAGAGCTTAGCAAAATGCTTTTTTGTTCATTTTGTTACTCTGTGTCACATTACTTTAAACTGACTTGTCTATGACTGTGAAAATCACTTTAAGGTAAAAACAGACCATGAATTATTTAGGGTTTCTAAGATATGGTAGAAAGGTTAAGAAAGTAGCACGTTCCTATGGGTCTGAATAATTATAAAATGTGAACACTAATAGACTATAAAGATACAGAATTGGACAGGAATAAGGCAGAGTGAGGTTTTTGGAATGGTGCTTAACTCTTTGTCAAAGGCCTCACAAAAAGACAAGCTTCATTTTAAGTCTATTCTGGGAGCTTTGTCTAACAAACATACACGCACACACACACACACACACACACACACACACACACAGACACACGGCTTTCTTGCAGATCCCTTTCCACTAAATAAAAGGCTACATAGGATTTTCCACTGAAGAGTTCTATTTTGTTCCTACCCTTAACAACACATTATGTCAGTGTCATTGCAGACCCATTGAAGTACTATACATGGTCTAATTCTCTAAAACTTACTGAGTGACAAACAGGTCTTAAAATTGAGGATCAATAATGTGAATAAACATCTCTTCTCTTGTTGACGGTGATATTCACACTTTAAAGAGTTTTACTTTTCCTGTTCACTATTTTAAGTTCAGCCAACTAACACATCAGACAACAGGGTTTAGGAAATACTAAATCCTGGACTAAGAACCCATTTAATTATTAATGACCTTTTTGGTCACAGTTGCTGTCTCATGTCTGTCTGTGTAACATTATATACAGCAAGAAGAAAATAAAAATGATTTGATTTAAAGGTGGAGTATTCAATATATGAAAAGCTGTTACAGTCACAGCAAGTTGTGATTGCTAAGTAAAGGCATGCTTGCCTACAGTTTTTTTTTTTTTTTTTTTTTTTTTTTTTTTTTTAAGACAGAGTCTCGCTTTGTTGCCCAGGCTGGAGTGCCGTGGCACAATCTCGGTTCACTGCAAGCTCCGCCTCCCAGGTTCACGCCATTCTCCTGCCTCAGCCTCCCGAGCAGCTGGGAGTAGAGGCGCCCGCCAACACGCCCGGCTAATTTTTTGTTTTTTTTTTAGTAGGGACGGGGTTTCACAGTGTTAGCCAGGATGGTCTCGATCTCCTGCCCTCGTCATCTGCCTGCCTTGGCCTCCCAAAGTGCTGAGATTACAGGCATGAGCCACTGCGCCCGGCTTCCTACACAATTGTAAAGCAATAAGTTTTATGTCATAAAGTTCTAGAAATGCCGTGGGTCACATGAACACCTTTTCAAAATGAAAATGTTATAACACAAGTTAAATTTTATATAGGCAAAGAGATATCTAGAGTATTCATATGTTATCTGCATATTTAAAGAGTTTCCAAGAATACAAGATAAATAGAACTTTATTTTCTAATAATTTTCTGCATGCTTCCACCTAAACATGCCAAAGCAGTTTGCTGCCAAATAAACATGCTGTTGACATATAGGATACCACGAACAAGTTCTGCAAAGAAGGGATGCAATATTTATTTTATGAAAAATTTTAATGTATTTGTACATATATTTAAATGAAAACTGATACTACCAGTGAAATAAATTGACAGAAAATGGCTGTATATTTTACAGGAGAATTTTAAAGACTTCTTTTTTTAATGTCAAATGAGGCTCCTAGAACTCTAGACCATCAAATAAAAACTTCACTTAAGATTTAGCTTATGAAATGTGAATTAACGTCACTCTGGCATTTCGTAATGTGGGACCCAAGGCAAGTTACCTAAATAACTTTGAGAAATATTTCCCAGATAATTAAGTGGATGCAATGATATTAAAGTCTTTCTTATAGGGATGCTTTGAGGTTTAATTGTAATAACTTTCATGTGAGTAACTACTGGGGTGCCTTATACATTTTTAATGAGAAAAATTTAAACGTTTCTCTCTTTATATATATATAGTTTATATATGCTATATATTTACACTATATATACTATATACTTATATATAGTATATACTTATATTTATATACACTTATATACGTATATATACTTATATTTATATATACAAGTATACATATATATATAAATACTATATATAATATGTATAAATACTATATATATTATATATAAATGCTATATATATTTTATATATATATATATATATATATAGTATATTTATATTTACTTTTGCAACTACCAACCGGTTTACTCAAGTAGATCTCTTCAGTTCTCTGGTTCTTCATTTTGCCAGATGTGAAGTGAGAAAGTTGGTCTATATAACCTGTAAGGTCTTTCTCATTTTAACTATAAAGTTCCAATTTATATTATTTATCTATAACATAATATTTCATTAGTAGTTTTCACTTCACTTACTGGTAAAACTTGTGTGTGTGTATATGTGTAGCTATATGTGTGTGGCCCAATGCATTTTAACGTAGTAACTCCCAGCAAAGCTTGAACTCATATTCTTGATATAAAGGGTTTCTTTCCCTTCATGATATAACCCCTCAAGATAGGTTTGTGAAGAAAAAGAAATTCAATTGTGTAATATCACAGAAGTAGAATTTTCAGAATATTTTCTTTTTATTGAAGTTGCATCAAAATTGTATATCTTCTTTAGAAACAAAAACATAATTCTCCACCATTAGGCTATATCCTCAGAGAAGCAGATGCCAGGAAAGGATAAAATGTTCAAGGAATTTATGAGAGGAAGCACGGCTGTGAGAGGAAATAGAAAGGAGACCTTAGATCTCACAACACAATTCTGACCCCACGTAAGTGAGAATAAAAAAGTGTGTTAGAGTGTCTTTCATTTTAGGGAACCTTCTTCAAATTTAGGGATTCCTTGGGCAAAGGCCCATTTTCAAAGTAGTCTAGTGTTCTAGGAAAGCAGACCATTGTCTGCTTCAGGATCTGCACTGCACTCACTCATGGGAGGCTGGTCGTAGTGCAAGCATGGCAATGTATTTTCTTTTCTTTCTTTCTTTCTTTTTTTATTTTGAGACGGAGTCTCGCTCTGTCGCCCAGGCTGGAGTGCGGTGGCGCCATCTCGGCTCACTGCAAGCTCTGCCTCCCGGGTTCACGCCATATTTTCAAGGGATGAGCCCGGGCCCTTGGTCAATTGTGCACTTGTAGGAAGAGAAGTGCCAGTGTACTCACATGGCCTCCACACTTGTTACTGATTTCCAGGACTCCCTTATTGATAGCAAAAGATCTTAGGATCGTAGAATTAGTGATGTAGACAGAGACTGGCTTGTGTCACTCTTGAGAATGGAAACATGTTAGACTTTTGTGAAAACTCCTATTGTCCGCTGGTATCATGAGAGTAAGATACATGCCACCTCACATCTAATTCAAAGGGCCAAGTGTCTACACATAGTATTAAAATTAAGCTAATATATCAGAAAGCATCCCCAATAGTTTAGCCTATCCTCTCACAGCAACCCACGTTTCAAAAATAAATAAATAAATAAATAAAAACTAGCTTTCCCCCCACCCACCTTTGAATAGTTTCCTATTCCACCACTGCTATGGTTAAAAATATTTTATATGACTACTAATATTTTGCTTCTATTACTTTCATGTTACGCCAATTCACTTACAAATGTGACCTTCAGCCAAGGTCCAGCAACAGAAAATCCTACATTGAATAACATTAGCAGCTATCATTCGTCAAATGTTGTAGTGTCTTGAACAGTTTCTAAAAGGATGCATAAAGCACAGTGTTTCTCTGTGTTGACTACACAGATCTACTAAACCCATTAAAATCCCATTTTTTTTTGGCTTTCTTGCTAAATCGTAGTATTTTTTAAATAACACATTTTACCATCAATTTTCTCTTTCTTTACTAATTGATCATATCTAAAGATGACAAATAATTAATATGATTGAATTAGAAATATTTAGAATTTTTAGACAATGGATTAAGCTTAGATGCAGCCATGATTCATAATTTAATAGTGTGATACAAGATATTTACAAGGAAAATAGCATACATTTGTAAATGGATTATTTTTTCAAATGTGAGTTTACCTTAATAATAGAATTTTTTGTAGGCGATATTTACAAGAGCTATTCTGTACTGTAATTATGCAGGGTACTGAAGAGAATGTAGTATAGATAGTACAATACAATGGAATAATCCAATATGTCTTCTTTAAATGAGAGCAGATTTCCTCTACTCTCTTTAATTTCTGTAATTTCTTCTTGCTCTGCTCCTTGGGCTTTATGAATTTTACCATGATTAAGTAAATAGATCTGACTTCCATGAGAATATTACGTAAATTTGAGGCCTTCATGATTAACTGTTTGTAAAACAAGGTATACATACAGTGAATTTGCAAAATTACTATATCATAATCATAGCTATAATAGAACAAAGTTAGCTATTTCCTTTTAACAGTCAAAAAGAGTGGTCATCTTTCAAGTCTTAATTTCCCAGTAATCTTACATCAGAGAAAAAAATCCCACAATATACTAAAAATATTTATTATTCATTAAAAAAAGAGTAGCTTTTACCTAGTATGAAATATGTAATACAAATTCAGGAAAAATATGATATAAGAATAATTAGAATATTTAGAATAATCACATCAACTATTTTTTTTTTTTTGAGACGGAGTCTCACTCTGTCGCCCAGGCTGGAGTGCAGTGGTGCAATCTCGGCTCACTGCAAGCTCCGCCTCCCGGGTTCACGCACATCAACTATTAATGCTCTTCTTGAAACCAAGTCAAAATAGAACACACACAAAAAATGAATTTCTTAAATATAGACTACCATAAAAAATTAAATATAAACTTTATGGAAAACAAAGGCTCAGCTGGTTCTATGTATGTATGGCCTTACACTTTAATTTGTATTAACTTCCCATTTTCTCTTACCTCCTCACTGGTACTTGTTTCCATGGGTGGTTTATAATTCATCATTAAGTTTAATAAAGCATATGGTTCCTTCTACATTCACAAAATGAAATGCATGTTTTGGGACTATGTAACTAAATATGAGCCTTTCCTAAGTACCAGGGTATTATTTTCAGAAATGTCTGTGAGGTTGTAGTTACAGAAACATCTCCTACAGATTATCAACACTGTCAAACACATTTAGGAAAGCAGTCAAATGGGCATAGGCAATTGTAGTAGCATAGAATGAGATTTGTCTGTATTTTTTAACTGTCAGAAAAAGAAAACTGCAGGATATTTTAGCAGTAAAAAAAGTACACATGTGATATATTCATTATTCCCCCCTTCCTGGGTTAAATATGCCACAAAGAACAAATATAATTCCATATTCTTTATCTTGTAGTGGGAAAAATATTAAACTTACTTATGCAAAGAATCAGAATTGCATATTGGATATGTAAATAGTCCTAATTCAATGCTGAATACAAGGGGGAATATGTATGTGTGTATATGTGTGTATATATATATATGTGTATACACACACACACATATATGTGTATACATATATGAGAGAGAAAGAGCAATTCTGTAAAATTGGATTGTTGGATATAAAGTTATGGACAATGTGATATGAGGCAAGTTTAAACAGAGTAAAACATGCATCATAATTTTATTACCAGGTATCGTGAAGGCATAAAATGAGACAAATAATTAAATACAAAAGGACACTTTCTAAGGCAAACAGATACAGCTTAAAACAAATTACAATAATTTAAATTATTTATCAGTCAAGAATCTACCAGCAATATTAATTTCTGAAAGTAAAAGGGGAAATAAAAGCATTCACGTAGTTGAATTTTCTTTTTTAAATTGAGATATACTTTACGTGCTGTGAAACTGACTCTTTAGATTTATAGTTCTCTGTTTTCTCAAATGCATACAGTCTTGTAAACACCAGCTCAATCAGGATACAGAAGTTACAAACCCACCCCCATTCCCTCATGCTTCTTTTTAGTAAATCCCTTTCCACAACCCCAGTCCCAGCAAATACTGATCTGTTCTTTGTCTCTATAATTTTGCCTTTCCCTGAATATTACATCAATTTAATCATACACATATGTGACCTTTGGGATTGGGCTTCTTCCACTTAGGATAAAGCATTGCAATTCACTCATGATGTTTCATGCATGTAGTTGCTGCAGTGGATACCAACTTTATATAAATGGATTCCGTAAGTTTTGTCAAAGAATCTTATCCTATAGTTTGAGGATAAGGCATGAAAGACTATATACTTAATACATTGTCTCAGATTATTTGGTGACTGAGGTCTTTGGATTGCACCGTGAGAAGCCCTGAACTAGGCAACAGGAAACAAACTTTCCTTGACTAATTCAGAAGAGAGTTTGTAGGTAGAGACAAAGGGGTACAGAGTCAACGTTCCCGGCACTCTATCCATTCTCAAATCTAATAGAACCTTGAAAAAGCAAAGGATTCTAGTCTTATTGGTCAAGGTCTCATCCACTAATAAGATCTCCTACTTTAAAGCAGGCTTTTAAAAAAAATCATTACATCACAGATTTTGCATTCAGCAAAATGTGATTATCTCGACAATAAGGCAGAGTTCATTGGTTGTAAGCAACAGGAATGCCTACAGCTACAGAAGTAAAACAGATGTGTTAGGATTATTTTGTTTGGAGTAAACTATCTAAAGCAAAAAATATAATGTATTAGCCTTTGTATCTGGGATTTCATAATTATGATTGGCAACAGGAACAACTGGACTTTGAGATTCAAATATTTACCCATTTATCACTATCTTATCCTCTCCTAACCCCATGTTATGGGTTTAACTTTGCCCCCACTCCCCAGAGAAAATAGATATACTGAAGTTCTTACCTTTAAGTACTTCATAATGTGACCTTATTTGAAAACTGAGTTGTTTCAGATGTAATGAATTAAGCTGAGTTCATGCTGAAATAGTGAGTCTTTATTCCAATAGCACTGGCGTCCTCATAAGAGGATGGCCATGTGGAACAGATACACACAGGGAGAAGACCATGCGATTACATAGACAGAGGCTGGAATTACTCAGCTGCAAGCCAAGGAATGCCAAAGATAACCAGCAAATTGTGAGAAGTGAGAGAGGGGAAAGGAGGGATACCTCTGTAGATTTCAAAGGATACATAGTTTTGAGGACATCTTAATGTTACATTTCTAGCCTCCAGAACTGTAGAAAAATAAATTTCTTTTATGCTAAAAGAAATTACCCAATTTGTGGGGCTTTGTTGGTAGCCATGTGAAACTAACATACTACATTAGTCTGTTCTTGTATTCCTGTAAATAACTACCTGAGACTGGATAATTTATAAAGAAAAGAGGTTTAATTGTCTCATGGTTCCACAGGCTATACAGAAACCGGGACTGTGGAGGCCTCAGGAAACTTACAATCGTGGTGGAAGGCGAAGGTTAAGGAAGCATGTCCCACATTGCTGCAGTAGGAGAGAGAGAAAATTGGGAAGTCTACACATGTTTAAACAACCATATCTCCTGAGAACTCACTATCATGAGAACAGCAGTGAGGAAACTTGCCCCATGATCCAATCACCTCACAGCACACTCCTCCTTCAATGTTGAAAATTACAGTTTGACACAAGATTTGGATGGGGACACAGACCCAAACCATATAATTCTGCTCCTGGTCACTCCAAAATCTCATGTGCTTCTCACAATTTCAAAACACAATCATGCCTTCCCAACAGCCCCCAAAGTCTTAGCACATTCTAGCGTTAACTCAAAAGTCCAAATTCAAAGTCTCATCTAAGATAAGGCAAATATCTTCCGCCTATGAGCCTGTAAAATAAAAACTAGTTACTTCCAAGATACAATGGGGGTAAAGGCTTTTGGTAAATGCACCCATTCCAAAAGGGAGAAATTGGCCAAAACAAAGGGGCAACAGTTCCGCTGCAAGTCGGAAGCCGAGCAGGGCAGTCAATAAATCTTAAAGCTCCAAAATAATCTCCTTTGACTCTATGTCTCACATCCAGGTCACACTGTTGCAAGAGGTGGGCTCCCATGGTGTTGGGCAGCTCCACCCCTGTGGCTTTGGAGGGTATAGACTTCCTCACAGCTGCTTTCACAAGCTGGCATTGAGTGCCTTTTGCTTTTCCAGGCACATAGAGCAAGCTGTCAGTGTATCTACCATTCTGGGGTCTGAAGGATGGTGGACCTCTTTTTACAACTACACTAGGTAGTGCCCCAGTGGGGACTCTGTGTAGGGGCCCTAACCCCACATTTCCCCTTCTGCAATGCCCTAGTAGAGGTTCTCCTTGAGGGCTCTGCCCCTGAGGCAAACCTCTGCCTGGATATCCAGGCATTTCCATATGTCCTCTGAAATCTAGGCAGAGGTTCCTAAGCCTCAGTTCCTGCCCTCTGCTCCCACACAGACTTAACACCATGCGGAAACTGCCAAGGCTTGCAGCTTGCATGCTTTGGAACAGCAGCCTAAGTCATGTCTGGGTCCCTTTTAGCCATCGCCAGAACTGGCGTGGCTGGGACACAGGGAACAGTGTCCTGATGTTGCACAGGAAAGAAGTGCCCTGGGCCCAGCCTGCAAAACCATTCTTCCCTCCTACGCCTCCAGGCCTTTGGTGGGAGGGCTTGCTGTGAAGGTCTCCAAAATTCTTTTGAGGTATTTCCCCCATTTTCTTGGCTATTAACATTTGGTTACTCTTTACTTATGCAATTTTCCACAACTGGCTTGAATTTCTCCCTACAAAATGTGTTTTTTTCTTTTCTACCACATGGTCAGGCTGAAAATTTTCCAAACTTTTATGGTCTGCTTCCCTTTTAAACATAAGTTCCAATTTCAGAAAATCTTTTTCTGAATTCATATGACTGTACACTGTTAGGAACAGCCAGGTCACATCTTGAATGCTTTCTGCTTAGAAATTTCTTCCCCCAGATACTCTAAATAATCTCTCTCAAGTTCAAAGTTCCACGGATCTAGGGCAGGGACAAAATGCCTCCATTCTCTTTGCTAAAGCATAGCAAGAGTGACGATTATTCCAGTTCCCAATAAGTTCCTCATCTCTATCTGAGACCACCTCAGCCTGGACTTCATTGTCCATATCACTATCAGCATTTCAGTCGCAACAATTTAACAAGTCTCTAGGAAGTTGAATTTCCAAATTTTCCCTCATTTTCCTGTGTTCTTCTGAGCCCTCCAAACTTTTCCAACATCTGCCCATTACCCAGTTCCAAAGCTGCTTCCATATTTTCCAGTATCTTTACAGCAATAGCCTACTTTTCTGGCATCAATTTTCTATATTAGTTCATTCTCACACTGCTACAAAGACATACCCAAGACTGGGTAATTTATGAAGAAAAGAAGTTTAATTTTCTCATGGTTCCTCAGGCTGTACAGGAAGCATGGCTGGGGTGGCCTCAGGAAACTTACAATCATGGTGGAAGACTGAGCGAAAGAAGACACATCCTACATGGCTGGAGCCAGAAGAAGAGAGACCAAAGGAGGTGCTACACACTTTCCAACAACCATATCTTGTGGAAACTCACTCACTATCATAAGAAAAACAAAGGGGACGTCTACCTCCATAAATAAATCACCTCCCATCAGGACCCCCCTCCAACAATGAGGATTACCATTTGTCATGAGATGTGGGTGGGTACACAGAGCCAAACCATATCACATGCCCCAATACAAATAACCTGATTTTTTTTCTAAATTAGCTTTATTTTTCATGTACTGATTTCCTTCATGAAGCAGAGAGATGGGAGACAAAATCATATAATGTTCCAGGTTTACACTCTCTTGGTTTTTGTTTTTGTTTTGTTTTGGACTCTATAGAGAACTATTTCTTACATCTGGTCTCTGTATATAAAATTCCGGGGGAAAGACTAAGATCGGTCAGTAAATGTCAATGTGGGAAAGAAGTATGGTGATTGACACGACTGGGATGCTTACTTTCCCCTGTGGCAAAATGGAAAGATTTACAATCCCTTTGAGAGCCACATGGAACAGAGGTGTGTAATAATGAGGATAAAATTTTAGTGGGATTTATAAATAATTGCATTCTTATTGTGGGAGATTTATTGACATTTAAAGTAGAGATAGGCAGGTACATATATCTGCACAGTCAGTCCTCTGTATCCATTGGTGCTTCATCTGTGGCTTCAAAATATTCAGAGGAAAAACAAAGTGTCCATGCTGAACACAAACAAACCTTTTTTGTCCTTATTCTATTAACAATTATTTATATTTGATTACATATCATACATGATCTAGGGATAATTTAAAATATACAGGAGTACGTGCATAGATTATATGCAACATTTTACATAAGGAAGTTGAGGATCCACTAAGTTTAGTGTTGGCAGCATCCTGGAACCATTCCTCCATGGATACCAAAGGACAACTGTATATATATATCTATATAGGTAAATAAACAGACACATATACAACAGTAAAACAAACACATTTATTCAACTTTCTAAACTTCTCTATGACTCAGTTGTTCTGAAAATCAAGTGAGTTAATATGTGTTCCCGTGGAAGAATATCTGAGATATAGTATGTTAAACAACTGGTAACTCATTTAACAGTAGTAGTAAAGATTGTTGAACATCAAGAAATATGAGAAGATAGGGATTAATTTTGAAAATTACCATAATCAAAAAGAAACATTAATTCACGCACAGCAATATATTTGTGTAAATCGTCAAATACCATCAACTCATTGGTAACAAATAAACATTCATCTTAAAATGATTTGTGTAAATATATAAGAACATTTTTCTAAATGTTAGTCAAATAAGTGAGAGGTAAATAAGATGCCACTAATCACACATTAAAATGACAATAGTAATAATCATTGCGAGTATTAAGTATCTGTAATGCCATGGGAACTCTCACACGCTGCTAGTGGGGTTGTAAAAATGGTGCAACCACTTTAATAAACTATTTGCCAGTTTCTAGAAAGTTAAATCCATCCTTAATATATGACCTTGCATTTCTACTTCTCAATTTTGATTAAAGAGAAATGAAATGTATGTCCACAAAAATATTTGTACATGAAAGTTTACAAACAGTTTATTAAAATAATCAAAAACTGGAAAAACATAATGTCCATCAGCAGGAAAATAAGAAAACTGTGACAAATCTATATATAAGGAAACACTTCTCAGCAATCATATGATACAAACTACAGATACACACCACAATATGAATGAGCATCAAAAACATTTTGCTGAGTAAAAGAAATAAGAAAAAACTTCATACGGTTTGATATATATTAAATCATAAAAAAGCAAGACTAATCTATAGTGTCAGAAAAAAAGCTCACTTGTTGCCTGAATGCCAGAGTGTGAAAATATTTACTGGAAATAGGAATGAGGATACATTTGGTATAATAGAAAAGTTCTATATCCTGATTGTGTTCATGGCTACATGGGTATATGCATTTGATAAAATAATTGGCCTACCGGGCGTAGTGGCTCATGCCTGTAATCCCAGCACTTTGGGAGGCTGAGGCAGACAGATCACGAGGTCAGAAGTTCAAGACCAGCCTGACCAACATGGTGAAACCCCGTCTCTACTAAAAATACAAAAATTAGCTGGGCATGGTGGTGCACACCTGTAATCCCAGCTACTCAGGAGGCTGAGGCAGGAGAATAGCTTGAACCCAGGAGACGGAGGTTGCAGTGGGTTGATATTGTGCCACTACACTCCAGCCTGGTGAAGGAGCAAGACTCTGTCTAAAAAAAAAATACATTGGCCTGTACACTTAAAAGTGCATTGCATTGTATATCATTGTATTGTATATCATGTAAACCTCAATACATGACACAATGTAGAAATATACCCAATATTAAATATTAAGTATGGTAAATGATTATAACTTAACGTTTATTTTCCCCATGATGAACAAGAAAATATTGGGCTTGATGATAATCATTCTTATTGGATAGAAAAATTATTCTGTAAGGCAAATTATGAATACATACACCTTCATTTGCTTTACTAGTAAACATTACCTGATCCCATAGCTTTTTAAGGTATTCCTGAAAGTTTATCAAAAATTTCCTTAAATATTTTAGAAATTTGTTCACAGTATTTCTGTTCTTTTCTCTTTTATGTTGATGAAGGTTACGAGACAACCACATTTTGAGACAACAGTAGTCTTTTGAGGATTGACATTGTAGTAGCCTTTCTTCCTGTAAGGGGAAGAGTACTGGTTTTCATATCTCTATGACTAACTCCACTTCAATCATATTTCAAAACATTTTTTATACCTCCAAGGAGAGTAGTAAACATGTTATAACTCTATCGAGAAGGCCAAATAATCATGACAATGAAGTACAACATTGAGTGTCATGCATGCGTTGAGAGTTCCCTGGGGCCTTTCCAATACAAATCATCTCTGTTTTCTCCTCAAAACCTGAAGAGGCTGAGATTTGAAATAAGGAGTCAATATTAAGGAGAAAACATTACCTCTGTTATGATAGAACTAGGTAGGAGGACATATGTTAGCGTAAAAACTAACTGACCCCTTGAATTTACAAGTAAGGAAACTTAGCCAAGCTGTCAGAGGTAGTACTGGTATAAGTCAACAAGGCTTAGAGACCAGCATAGCAAATAAAAATCACATATTCTCTGTGGTCAGGCTGGATCCCAGAGAAAAACAGCTGCACCAGTTATTTATCTCAAATTTCCAAATCATATGTTTGGAAAATAGAGTAGATAAAAAAGAAAAAAAGGCTGGGTGCAGTGGCTCATGCCTGTAACCCCCGCACCTTGGGAAGCTGAGGCAGTTGGATCACCTGAGTTCAGGAGTTCGAGACCAGCCTGACCAACATGGTGAAACCCCGTCTCTACTAAAAATACAAAAAGTAGCCAGGTGTGCTGGTGGGCGCCTGTAATCCCAGGTACTTGGGAGGCTGAGGCAGGAGAATCACTTCAACCCAGGAGATGGAAGTTGCAGTGAGCTAAGATTGTGCCACTGTACTCCAGCCTGGGCCACAAGAGTGAGACTTCATCTCAAAAAAAAAAAAAAAAAAAGAAAAGAAGGAAAGTAGAAGAAAACCTTGGGACTGATAAAATTTCATTCTCCCAATGTAGACTATATTTATCTTCTCTACCAGATAAAGTCTCCACGATGCTTCAGCATCTTGATTATGTCCCAGGAGACTGAACTTATGAACGAAATCAACAGGGATTTTTTTGCCCTTTATTTCACTAAGTTTAGCTGATGGGAGTTTAGGGGAGGCAAAATTTTATCCTTATCCTCTTGGAGTCTCTGGCTGGCGACTGAGAATTAAATTGACGTAAGTTATATTAGCAAAATAAAAGCATACATATTCTTGTATGTACATGGAATCCCACACAGGAAAATGAAGACACAAAGAAGCAGTAGAATCAAATGCTTATATACTAAGTAAGACAGAGTAGTGAATTATGAAAATGTGACAAGACAGAGGGGCTTGGACTAGGACAGTTAATTATGGAGAAGTGACTACAAAGATAAAAGTTGGCTTAATAAGACTTATTTGCACAGATTTTCCTGGGCCTCAACTCCCTGTTTCTGGTGATAAGATGGTTCATCTTATCTCACATCTCACCATGTGAGAGAGAGAGAGAGAGAGAGAGAGAATGTGTGTTTCCTACGGGTACAAGAAGGGTATCTTTCACTTGACAGTTTCATCTCCTATTTTCAGGAAGAAAATAACACATCAGAGTTCTTGTCTTGCATTTGTTATTTTTCAAGTGCCTTTAACTCAAAGTAATTTTTATGCCAAATGACATATTTTGGGGTAGCATATTCTGCCACCTGCAAAGGTGATACTGATAGGATATGGGATAATAGAAATAGGGCGATGAGGGTGGCCAGTGGCCGTTTCTCTCCAAAGCCTAAAGCTATTGTTGGGTGATTTTTCTAAAGCCCAGGCTCCTGGCTTCCCTCTGGATTAAAACTTATTTTACCCTTTGACTCTTCTGTCCTATGGATGGTAACTTCTCTCTTAGTTTGTTGTATCCCTGGCCACTCAAGTCAATTATTCCTTCTTTAAACTTTTCATAATTGCCTATTAGAGAGTCCCATCTGTGTTTTTCCCAGTTGATACATTAAAATGGCAATTTGTTCCTGGTTCTCCTCATTATAACACAATCAAATTCTAACATTCAGGGACGCTTAAGATCCCCTTATTATTCTTATGGCAGAAGAAGAAGAACTGACACCACAAACCCTAGTAAACACATAGAAATTTAAATAATTGACAGAACATGAAAATATACCAATGGAGACCAGGTTATAAATATGAGTGGTTTATTATTTGGTGTCAAATAAGGAAAATGTAAAATTATTTTTAAAAATCAGTTTAGTCTTCTTACAGTTGGCTTCTAGTCGTGATATGTTAATAATTGATAATTGCTGTAGACAACATCAGTGTTTTCTGGATATTTTTATCTAGCCAGTTCTAGGAAAAGAAAACAATGCAACTTTGGAGGACATTTTCTTATACATGATTTTCTGGTACAAGAAGTGTGAATATCAGTCATTTAAAACCACAAATTCATTAAGATACATTTTTGAGCCAGTTTATAGAAAATTTCATAGAAAAGAAAAGGTTATTTCATATGATACTTTCCAGTTCTTTAGTTATGATATCTTATTATTTTAAAATATGTATTTTTCTTATCAGACATTTTCCCACAGAAAAAATCATTTAATAGACACAGAAGGCCAATAAAACAATATCTCTTGTTTTTGCCACACCACCTACAATATGGTTAGAATGATAAAAACTTCACGCCAAATACAGATAAAAGTAAAGAACATTTTTATTGACAAAAAGACATTTTAAGTACTTTGTAAATTTTAAACAACGCTAGATATGTGTCAATTTCCATCTCCTTAAGGCAGTTTCAATTTGAACATTATCAAATCATGCAGGTTGTGTCTCCCTTCTAGTCTACAGTTAAATAAAATTGTTTCATTACCATATCCACTGCTAAATTGCATGAAACATTAGCATCTGTTCAGAAGTGAAACTCTCCCTGGGGCCGTGTACTGGAGAACTCTGTGTGTCCCTATGAATCTGAGAAAAGACTTCAGATCCCTGAAATGTCTCCAAAGTAATTTACTTTTTAGCAGTGGGAAGCCTTAGTCTAAGGAACTGAACTCTTTGAAAAGCTTTCAGTTTAATTATAAAGATTAGTTATTCCCATCCTAGTCAACATTTAAAGCAGCATTTTCTGTTCTGTAATTATACCCCAAAATGATTTACTTATTAGGTGAGGTAGACTGATGTGTACATTTATTAGAGGAGTCATCAGAAGTCAAAGAAACAGTATTGTATCTTTAGTTGTCAAAGTCTTCTTTGACAAGTTAAACATATTGTTTTGCTTAGTTGTTAAAAGTAAAAAAAGACGGTAAACTAGAGAAGTGGCAGAAAAGATAAATATGTAATTAAAAAAGTAGAAGAAGAGGTTTTATGCAGCAGGTAGTCAGACTGTTTAAGAAATCATCAAAATTGATATCAGAAAAGGATACTTTCTTGCAAGTCTAATATTAGCTAACAGCATGATCTTTAGCAAGTAAATTTTTGTATTCTTTGAGGTTTCTTTCTCATCTACATGAAGAAAAACTGTTGTAGATTATTTCTCACATTGTGCTCAGCTGTTTCATTCTGTATTGTTACTGGGAATTAAGTTATTAAAAGGCAACAAGCTCCAAAATGAGGAAGAAAGGAAACTTATCTGAGAAATGGGAGCCTTTAAATTATCAGATCCAGACAGGCACTGGAATGAGACAACAGCCATGTTTTGCTCCCTTGCCTTGAGTTAAGTATTCATCTCCAGAAGCTGCTTGCTATGTGGGCTCTAGGCTGATGCCACAAGTTGCTAGAAATTAATCTAACAATGCTGCATACTGGACACCATAATTCATACCCTATGTTCAACAATGTATAGTCAATCACTAATTAATGTTATTTCTGTAAACCAATGATAATTTCTGACAAACAACCTTGTTTCAGTCCACTTCTTTCCCTGCTTTCTTTAAAAACATGCTTGTAACAAAAGCTGAAAAATGCACTTCACAAGGTGTTATGGTTTGGCTGTGTCCCCACCCAAAGCTCAAGGGCAGAACCAGGTGGAGACAATTGAATCATGGGGGCGATTTCCCCCATACCTGTTCTCGTGGTAGTGAATACGTCTCATGAGATCTGATGGTTTTATAAATGAGGGTTCTCCTACATATGCTCTCTTGACTGCCACCATGTAAGATGTGCCTTTGCTTCTCCTTTGCCTTCCACCATGATTGCGAGGCCTCCCTAGCTATGTGGTACTGTGAGTCCATTAAACTACTTTCCTTTATAAATTACCCAGTCTCGGGTAGGTCTTTATTAGCAGTGTGAAACCAGACTAATACACGAGGTAACCCGGAAGTGTTTCATAGGCAGCTGTCCTCACTTTGGCTCAAGTAAACTCCAAAATTTTATTTTGTCACTCAATTTCATTATTTAGATCAACATTTCTGACACTGCAAGCAGGGTTCAGAGCAATCCATCCCACCATGCAACACTCTTTCTGGACTTGATGCCTGGTCACCTAGAACCCCTTGTGTTCTGCCTCTGACAGCATTATCCAGTGTAAGGAATGAGTCCTTCTGGATTCTGACCTCCCTACTCTTTGATGATGTCTAGACTTTTCTTTATCTGTCTATTCCAACCCTCCCTTTCTAGAATGGAGGTTTCCATCTGGTATATTTGGGTCTCAGGAACAAAACAAAAACAAAAAAGCTGCCTTTTCTACCTTTGCCTTTGGCCAGAAGTTTGGCTTATTGGTTAAACAGTGAACACTGATGGATTTTCTCTATCTGAACAATTGTTTTGAAGTAATGCTTTTCTGGACCTGCTTTATTTCTTATTGTAACCAAATTCTGCCCCTGTATTTTATGAGGCTTATTTTCTATTCAAAAGAGAAGAGGCAATTGCTCCCCCGACCCATTTGGGTGCTCTAGGAGACTACAGACTTTGCAGAGGGGCCTCAACATTTGGCTGTGATGTATAGCAGCCTTATAGGGCTTCCCTGAAAAAAGAAAACCTGGAGGGACTTTCAGCTCAGCCAGAAAGTGCACATAAGAGTTGGTCACCTGGCACTCTGAGCACTCTGCCACTGCCACTGTAATTAGCCAGAAATTCTGAGACACCCAATATAGCAATTCATGATGTTTAGGTGACGCTCTGGGGAGTGATGCTCATAGGCAGCATACTTTGACCCAAAGCATGTTTTCAGCCTTGGACGCTTTCCAAAAGTTCTTAAATTATGGAAAATCAAGCTTCAAAATATGAGCACTTTTTAAAGGGATGATCTCCTTTAAAAACACCATTTGGTTTTATGTAAAATACTTAAAGAGTGTTCTTTTGTAAATATCTAGAAAAATGGACCCCCATGGCCCAGGTTGGTGATAAGCTACAGTGGCTGAAATGTGGGTCTTTTGAAATGCTTACAAAATTATTTGCATGTACAACCGGAAAAACTGGTTTTAAAACCAGAAATATTGAATGAGAGACTCACTTCTAATGGCAGGTAGAAGCTTCTAAAAAGGTTGAAAAAATTGCCTCCATTCAGGAGATAAAGAAAAAGATATCTGAGACTATTTCTGAATTAAAAAGGACTTCACTTAGGAGACCTTCTTCTCCCTTCCACCTCCACTGCTCCTTCTCCACCCACGCCTGAACCTTTATATCTTCTTGTATCTAAACTTTCCTGTCCTTACTTGCCTTCAATTCTATCTCCCTGACCACCTGAGGAAATTTTCTACATCTCTGACATCCTTTCTGAAACTCCTATTTTTGCAGCCCCTTTCAAGGTAAAACCTGCAGAAAGATGTGAGCCTCCTATTATGCACACCCGTTGGACAAAGACTGAACTTAAGAATAGTATAAAAGACTTCCCAGAGCTTCTCCAAGATCCCATAGTGTTTGCAAAAAAAAAAAAAAAAAATTCATTTAATTGTCAGGACATAAGAACACAGATAGTCTGACTTTTATCAATTAGTTCACACGCTGGCATCAAAAGACAGGGCCACTGAATGGTTGAAAATGGCAAGCTTAGAACAATACCTCATAGGATGTTTTAAAAAAAGACTGAAGCCAACCATGAAGGTGTCTACACCTTAGCCCAGGCTCTTTGTGATGCCATTCTCCAGACCTTTCCAAATAATGTAGCTTTGAGGAGAATTAATCAATGCTCTAAAAAGCCAGATGAATCTGTGCTGGATTATTTTGAACAGCTTGAAAAAAAAAAACATTTAAACAATATTCTGAAATGCCTGATGCTAGCCTCCAAGGTCATCAGAATGATTTTCTTATAAATTCTGCTTTCTTCAATGGCTTACATGAAGACTTGGTTACCTTATTTAAATAATACCATCTTAACTTTGCAGATATACAAACCCATAACTTAGGAAGTGTGGGAGATCAACTTTCTAAAACTATTCAGAAAGAAGAAAAAACTAAGGTCTCAAAGATGTATTAGGAGAAATGGAAATTTCCACAAATGGAAAACAGATGTGTACCCTCATAGACACTGAGGCTACTCTCTCTGTTCTCAGCCCTACCACTTTAAACTGTCTCCTTTCTTAGAGTAATAAAACTGTAAGAAATGGTAGCGGTATCTAATGAACCTATGACTGTATATAAGTCCAAACCCTGAGAATTTTAAGTAAGCTCATTTAGTGGCCTTCATTCCCTTCGGCCTGTTGCCTTGGCTCCCATACATCTCTTGGGCAGAGATTTTTTTTGGAATTTCATAATACACTAATTTCCTTCTCACAAAAGGGGGAAATATAGTTAAATTTGGAATAGAAGGAGCAAATGGAACAACTACAGACTAAGAATGAAAACACTAAAATTATAAAAAATATAGTTCAAACAATTTTTTTTCTGAACTGGGACTAATGAATGACATTGATGGCTTATTGCAAGCTTTGCCAGACCACTTTTCATCCCAATCTTCTACTTACTTTGGTAAAATATATTAATCCACCCTCAGTAAAGTAGAAGTAAACCTTATTAAACCTTTACCAGACAATATCCTCTAAGGCCTAGAGCAATTGAAGGAATCAGACCCATAATAAAAGATATATTTAAAATGGTCTAATTATTTCTTGCACCAGCCAATGTAATACTCTGATCCTTTCTGTAAGGAAGCCAAACAGGAGGGGCTGGACTTTTGTATAACATTTGAGAACTGTCAAGAACATTGTGATCCCAAGACATCTGGTGGTACCAAAAGCCCATATTCTTTTGGCAGCAGTCCTTACTGAAAGTTGTATATATATACATACCATGGTTGATTTATGCAGTGTTTCCTTTGATATTCCAGTAGGCCCATGGAGTCAATACTCACTTGCTTTTACTTGAGATGACTACCAGTATACCTGGACCATCATGCCCCAAGGTTATACTGAGAGCAATTCCTGTATTTTTTCAAATCTTGAAATCTAAGTTGGTTAATGTACATTTGTTAGGGCAGAGGTCCCCAAAATTTTTGGCACCAGAGATCAATTTCCCAGAAGCCAAGTTTTCCATGGACTGGCGGTGGGGCGTGGTGGGGGTTGTGGATGGCTTCAGGATGAAACTGCTCCACCTCAGATCATTAGGCATTAGTTAGATTATCACAAGCAGCACACAACCTCAAACCCTCTCATGCACAGTTCACAATAGGGTTTGCGCCTCTGTAAAAATCTAATGTGGCCAGTGATCTGACAGGAGGTAGAGCTCAGATGGTAATACTTACTCTCCTGCCACTCACCTCCTGCTGTCTGGCACAGTTGCTAACAGGCCATCGACCATTACCAGTTCATGACCCAGGGACTGGGGACCCCTGTACTAGAGGGAATGTATGCTCATCTAATGTGTAGATGGTGTCCTTCTTTATTCCCTGAATATGCAAACCTCTAAGAATGACAGCATGCATCTATGAAAACAATTGTCATTTAAGGGACACAAAATTTCTAAAGAGAAACTCCAATTTTGCTAGATGCAGGTAAAATACACGAGACACTTGATTTGTAACAAAGGCTTGCTGAAGGATTAAACGAATTCTAGCCTTCCCTACGCATTCAAAAAAGAAGCAAGGATTTCTGGAATTGGCTGGACACTGTTGGAATTGGATACCTATTTTTTTAATAGCTCAGCCTTTACATACCCTCTTGATAGTGAACCAGCCTGATTCTCTTGTTTGGACTCCAGAGGGAATGAAAGCCATACAATTTATCAAGTCTTGCAACTTTCTGTGCTTTAGGGCCTCTCGACTATAGCCTTCAGTTTTCTGTGTTCATTGATGAAGATCAGGGAAACACCTTAGGAGTCCTAACACAGAAACATGGGGAACAAAATAGACCTGCTAGATACTACAGCCAGCAACTTGATGCAGTGGCTACAGGGATACCACCATGCTTAAGAGCAATCTCTGCCGTCACTTTGCCCTTTAAGGCTATTGAAGAAATAGTTAGGGAATCCCCTTTTACCATTTGTACTCTGCTGTTTGGAAATTCTTCTGAACTCACATCACACCCAACATTACTCTGTTAAATGACTGGCTTCCTATAAAGCTCTTCTTTTGTCCTCACCTAATGTTAATATTTTGCTATAACAATCTTAACCCAGCAAATCTCTTGCCCTTGCCTACTGAGAGGATGCCATATGATTGCATCACTCTTTCTGACTGATAGACAGGACCTAAGAGAGATGCCCATAAATAATGCCAGTATAATATGGCTCACTGATGATTGTAATTTGAAAGATGAAATCTGAAAAATTTTGGGCTAGTTATGCCATAGTATCACTAACTGAGGTTATAGAGGATAATCCTCTTCCATATATAAAATTGGCTCAGTTGGTAGAATTGATTGCTCTAACTTGAGTTTGTCAGTTGGCAAAGAATAACATGGCTAACATTTGTGCTCACAGCAGATATGCATTCACGGTAGCTTATGGTTTGAGGGATGCTTTGGAAGCAACACAGGTTCTGACCTCTTCAGGTCAATTCACCAAAATTGTCAACAAATTTTCGACCTCTTGGAAGTAATCCAAACCCCAAATATCTAGCCATCATTAAAGTTCTTGGTCATTCAAAACTAGATATTCCAGAAAGTAAAGGAAACCATTTCACTGATGCTGTAGCTAAGAATGAAGCCTTGAGGGTTATGTTAGACAATAAATGCTTTGAAATGTCCTTACAGACTTATTACCCATTAAAGTTTTATTTAAGAAACCACAAACAACAGCCCTCAGAAGAAAATAGACGACTGGAAAAATAAAAAAGGCAAATTTTTCCCAGAATTAGGCTCATGGTGTGGATAAACTGATCTTTCCTTTAGGATTTCAATTACCTTTTTGCATTTGAATCCGGACATAATAATAGCAAGGGGGAAAGCCATATTATTGAAAACTACCCACTACTGTTGCACAGGTTTTTTCTTACTGTAGTGTTTGTCCCAAACAATCCTGGAAAATCCTTTCATGGGTCATGTGGACATTTTCATTTACCTGTAGGACCCTTTAAGTTACAACAATTACTCTTTGCCCAGCTGCCTCCATCTCAGGGTTATGGGTATGTTTTTGTGGTAATTTGTTTGTTCTCTCATTGTATTGACGCATTCTTATGCTGACAAACTATGGCTTAAGCAGTAAGTAAATTGTTATTAGAAAAGATAATTGCTACATGAGGAGTTTTATCTCAGCTCCATAGTGACTGAGAAACATGCTTTACTGGTCAAGTAATTTGATCCATTTGCAACATTTTGCCTATTTTCCAACACTTTCTTTGTACCAATCACTGTCATCTCCCCCAATAGCCCACATCCTCTGGACTGGTGGAACACACCAATGGCATAGTAAAACCTCAACTGGCAAAACTAACAGAAGTTTTTAACACTACCTGGCCACAGGCTCTCCCATCAGTCCTGCTCAAACTATGATTGCCTCATTTGGAAAACACCAGCTCTTTTCTTTTGAAATAATAGCAAGGAAGCCTATGAAACTAGATGAAGGAACTCATGAGCCTACACTTTTTCTTCTTTTTTTTTTATACTTTAAGTTCTAGGGTACATGTGCACAACGTGCAGGTTTGACACATAGGTATACATGTGTCATGTTGGTTTGCTGCACCCATCAACTCATCATTTACATTAGGTATTTCTCCTAATGCCATCCCTCCCCCAGCCACCTACCCCTGACAGGGCCAAGTGTGTGATGCTCCCCGCCCTGTGTCCAAGTGATCTTATTGTTCGATTCCCACCTATGAGTGAGAACATGCAGTGTTTGGTTTTCTGTCCTTGTGATAGTTTGCTCAGAATGATGGTTTCCAGTTTCATCCATGTCCCTGCAAAGGATATGAACTCATCCTTTTTTTATGTCTGCATAGTATTCCATGGTGTATATGTGCCACATTTTCTTAATCCAGTCTATCATTGATGGACATTTGGGTTGGTTCCAAGTCTTTGCTACTGTGAAAAGTGCCGCAATAAACACACGTGTACATGTGTCTTTATAGTAGCACGATTTATAATCGTTTGGGTATATACCCAGTAATGAGATTGCTGTATCAAATGGTAATTCTAGTTCTAGATCCTTGAGGAGTCTCCACACTGTCTTCCACAATGGTTGAACCGATTTACACTCCCACCAACAGTGTAAAAGCGTTCTTATTTCTCCACATCCTCTCCAGCACCTGTTGCTTCCTAACTTATTAAAGATTGCCATTCTAACTGGCATGAGATTGTATCTCATTGTGGTTTTGATTTGCATTTCTCTGATGACCAGTGATGATGAGCATTTTTTCATGTGTCTGTTGGCTGCATAGATGTCTTCTTTCGAGAAGTGTCTGTTCATATCCTTTGCCCACTTGTTGATGGGGTTGTTTCTTTCTTGTAAATTTGTTTGAGTTCTTTGTAGATTCTGGATATTAGCCCTTTGTCAGATGGGTAGATTGCAAAAAATTTCTCCCATTCTGCAGGTTGCCTGTTCACTCTGATGGTAGTTTCTTTTGCCATGCAGAAGCTCTTTAGTTTAATTAGATCCCATTTGTCTATTTTGGCTTTTGTTGCCATTGCTTTTGGTGTTTTAATCATGAAGTCCTTGCCCATGCCTATGTCCTGAATGGTATTGCCCAGGTTTTCTTCTAGGGTTTTTATGGTTTTAGGTCTAACATTTAAGTCTTTAATCCATCTTGAATTAATTTTTATGTAAGGTATAAGGAAGGGATCCAGTTTCAGCTTTCTACATATGGCTAGCCAGTTTTCCCAGTACCATTTATTAAATACGGAATACTTTCCCCATTTATTGTTTTTGTCAGGTTTGTCAAAGATCAGATGGTTGTAGATGTGTGGCATTGTTTCTGAGGCCTCTGTTCTGTCCCATCGGTCTATATATCTGTTTTGGTACCAGTACCCTGTTGTTTTTGTTACCATAGCTTTGTAGTATAGTTTGAAGTCATGCAGAAAAGGCCTTTGACAAAATTCAACAGCCCTTCATGCTAAAAACTCTCAATAAACTAGGTATTGATGGAACATATCTCAAAATAATAAGAGCTATTTATGACAAACCCACAGCCAATATCATACTAAATGGGCAAAACTGGAAGCATTCCCTTTGAATACTGGCACAAGACAAGGATGCCCTCTCTCACCACTCCTATTCAACATAGCGTTGGAAGTTCTGGCCAGGGCAATCAGGCAAGAGAAAGAAATAAAGGGTATTCAATTAGAAAATGAGGAAATCAAATTGTCCCTGTTTGCAGATGACATGATTGTATATTTAGAAAACCCCATCATCTCAGCCCAAAATCTCCTTATGCTGCTCAGCAACTTCAGCAAAGTCTCAGGATACAAAATCAATGTGCAAAAATCACAAGCATTCCTATACACCATTAACAGACAAACAGAGAGCCAAATCACGAGTGAACTCCCACTCACAATTGCTACAAAGAGAATAAAATACCTAGGAATCCAACTTACAAGGGATTTGAAGGACCTCTTCAAGAAGAACTGCAAACCACTGCTCAATGAAATAAAAGAGGACACAAACAAATGGAAGAATAAGAATACTCCATGCTCATGGATAGGAAGATTCAATATCGTGAAAATGACCATACTGCCCAAAGTAATTTATAGATTCAATGCCATTCCCATTAAGCTACCAATGACTTTCTTCACAGAACTGGAAAAAAAAAAAACTACTTTAAATTTCATATGGAACCAAAAAAAAGCCCACGTTGCCAAGATGATCTTAAGCAAAACGAACAGAGCCTATACTTCTTAAAGGTGATATCCTCGATTATTGCCAAGGTCTCACAAAACTTCTCACTAAGAACTCCAAATTAAATATTTATTTCACAGTGAGGTTCTGGGAGATGAAGACCTAAAAAGCATGGCCTACAACTTGGAGATTTCATTTACTGGAGACAATCCTAAGTAAAAGATTCCCTCTAACACCATTGGAATGGACCATATCAGGTATTGTAGACCAATTCCTGTGCTGCTAGATTTAAGGACATTGACTTATGGATTCATGTTTCTCATTAGAAAAGGTAACCCCAGCCAGGTGCAGTGGCTGACACCTGTAATCTCAGCATTTTAGGAGGCCAAGGTGGGTGGATTGCTTGAGGTCAGGAGTTCGAGACCAGCCTGACCAACAGAGTGAAACCCCGTGTCTACAAAAAATACAAAAAATTAGCCAAGTGTGGTGGTGGGCGCCTGTAGTCCTAGCTGCTTGGGAGGCTGAGGCAGGAGAATCACTTGAACCCAGGAGGTGGAGGATGCAGTGAGCCAAGATCTCGCCACTCCACTCCAACCTGACGACAGAGCAAGACTCTGTCTCAATAAAAAAAAAAAAAAAAGAAAAGAAAAGAAAAGAAAGAAAACATAACCACAGCCGTGTGCGTGCCTCACACCTATAATTCCAGCACTTTGGGAGGCCTAGGTGGGCAGATTGTTTGAGTCTAGGAATTCAAGACCAGCCTGGCCAACAAGGCGAAACCCCATTTCTACTAAAAATACAAAAAACTAGCTGGGCGTGGTGGCACATTCCTGTAGTCCCAGCTATTTGGGGAGGCTGAGGTGGGAGGATCAACTTATCCTAGGAAGTCGAGGCTGCAGTGAGCTGAGATGCGCCACTGCATTCCGGCCTAGGCGACACAGTGAGACCCTGTCTCAAAAGAAAAAAAAAAAAAAGCAACTCCACCAGAGTAGACATCTTCCGTCACTGGAGAAGGTTAACTGAAGCTGACTCACAGTCTTTCTGACCAAGGCATCAAGTAGCTGACACCTGAGGTAGTCTGATTCTGCCATTCTGCCAAGATACCAAACCTGGGCTGTATACCCAGTTCCTCACGATTCTAATGTTTACTCCACCTGAAACATTTGGTCTCCTATTTGTGTTGACGAGTATACTCGTGTTTTTAGGCCTCTTTCGTATGATAGGACTCCTCTCTTGCTGGTTTTGGTAAAATTATTCTACATATAATCTCTTAGGATACATCATACTAGTTGATGGGCCTATAAACGTCTAAGAGCATGAAACAATGAAAAGCAATATCTCTTCCTCCTCTGTCTATATCTATTGCTATGAAAAAAAAAACAACAAACTGATGAGTTCCCTTCTCTATGTACATATAGCTCTGAAAAAACCACAACACTAGACTAGTTCCCTCAAACTTTTCTTTAGGTGTGACCACTAATCTATTCGGGATGGTTATTCTATTTGGGAGAAATCTGCTCATTATCTGCCTAGCCATCAAGAAGATAGTTACATGCATTTAATTGGGAGAATGCTTTTTTGCCTTGGTTGGGTGTCACTTTCCATGAACACATGGTAATAATTTTTTTTTATAACTTTAGGAAATATTGTGATGAAACTGTAACCTCCATCACAGCTCAACAAAAAGCTATTGATTAACCGGCTAAGGTTGTACTAGAGAGTTGCATTTTTTAGGCTATATGCTGACTGGGCAAGGAGATGTATGCTTGGTGATAAATACTTCTTGTTATATATATATTATAGAAGCATATACTTTTATAGGAAGTATATAGGAAGTATATATTTTATAGGAAGTATATATATATATATACTTCCTATAAAAGTAGAAACTCTTCCAGAAAAAGTTTAGCAAAGAAGCCACTTGGCTACAAGTATACAAAGAAGAAACTGGATTTAGTTTACTTCATTTAGTTTTTAGTTGGGTCTTAGATGGAATAGGTTCCCAAACAAATTATCTTTTTCATTACAATCCTTATGTGCATAATATTTCTACTATTAAACTTATTAATGCTATGTATCTTTCATTTTACTTCTTCTAAGGAAACCAAAATCATGGTACTTTGAAGACTAGATATGATTCAACAAGTAATAGCAGCTATGTAAATCAACAACTAAGGTTGCATTTTTGCCACTCTTTAATAGCAATTTGGCTTTTGCACAGTCTTAAAATTCCTCACCATGACATTTTCTCATTTTCCCCAATATGCGACAGGATTATCCAAGAATAAGGCTTCTTGGCGACAAGGTACATCTTAAAATTCAGACTTTGATCATGATTGCTTTCAAGAGGAAATATTTTGACCAAAAGGGAAAATAATAAAGAAAATAAACTTGTTATCTGAGAAATGTGAGCCCCCTTTAAGTTGTCAGGCCCAGAGAGGCACTGAAATGAGACACCCATCATGTCCCACTCCTATCCCCCTTGAGCAATGCAATCATCACTGAAGCTGCTTGCTATGTGGACTCTAGACTGACCGATGCCACAAGTTACTACAAACTAACCTAACGACACCACATGCTGGACACCATAACTCATAGTCTATAGTTTAAAAATGTATAGCCAATCATTAATCAATGTTATTTCTGTAAAACAATTCCTGACAACTTTGCTGTAGCCCACTTCTTGTCCCCCTTTTTGCCCTTAAAAACTGACCTGTAACAAAGACCAAACAGAGAAACTTCCAAGGTAATCTGGAAATGTTTCCTGGGCAACGGTCCTCATTTTGGCTCAAGAACATTCTTTAAAATTATATTTTATGTCTCAGCTTCTTTCTTTAGGAGTACAAATATAATATATTTATTTTATTACTGTTCTCTTTTTTTGTTTGGATTTTAATGGAAACTGATAGTGACAGATCTGCTTAAAAGAAGTCATTAGAGCAGGTACAGAGAATTTTAGAACTTGACAACATATGATTATTTACTTTATTATTCATTTACTATAATATACTGGTCCAGTCACATTGATGGCTTTTTAATTCTGGGAAAGTGTAATGCTCATCCACTTTTCTTGGAACTTCAAACTGTTTCTGGGGTACATTCTTTACTTCTCTCATCACTATTTAAATGTAATCCACATTTAAATTATGAAACTATGTCATTTGCTCTGGAAATGAAGCAGTGATACCACTACCCCTTCCCACTGTTCATGCCAGTTCGTTAATTCATATAGGTATTCTATCTTTATTTTCAAAATGCATGTATTGGTTTGTAGTGATGCCTTAGTAAATCATCACACACTTGTTAGCTTAAAACTACACACATGTAGGGCCAGGCGCAGTGGCTCACGCCTGTAATCCCAGCACTTTGGGAGGCCGAGGTGGGCGGATCACGAGGTCAGGAGATCAAGACCATCCTGGCTAACACGGTGAAACCCCGTCTCTACTAAAAATACAAAAAATTAGCCGGGCACGGTGGCGGGCATCTGTAGTCCCAGCTACTCGGGAGGCTGAGGCAGGAGAATGGTGCGAACCCGGGAGGTGGAGCTTGCAGTGAGGCGAGATCGCGCCAGGGCACTCCAGCCTGGTGCACAGAGCAAGATTCCATCTCAGAAAAAAACAAAAACTAAAACAAAAAACCAAAAACTACACATATGTATTATCTTACAGGTCTCACAGGACTAAAATAAAGGTATTTCCTTTCTGAAGGATTTGAGGTAGGTATTGTTCTTTTGCTCATACAGGTCATTAGCCAAATTCTGACCCTTGTAGTTGTTGAACTTAAATCCTTCTTTTCTTACTGGCTGTCAGTGAGGACTGTTTCCAGCTGTTTGAGGCTACCCACATTTCTTGGCTCATCTTTCATCTTCCTTCCTCTATCTTGAAAGCCATTTACGGTGAGGCAGTTTCACACTTGAAATCTCTCCTTATTCTCATACTTCTACTTCACTCAGGAAAGATTATCACTTTTAAGGAGTCAAAGTGTTTAGATTAGGCTGCCTAGTTAATCCAGGTGTATTAGTTCATTTTCACGCTGCTGATAAAGACATACCTGAGACTGGGAGGAAAAAGAGGTTTAATTGGACTTAGAGTTCCACATGGCTGGGGAGGCCTCAGAATCATGGCGGGAGGCAGAAGGCACTTCTTACATGGGAGTGGCAAGAGAAAATGAGGAAGAATCAAAAGCAGAAACTCCCGATAAACCCATCAGATCTCATGAGACTTATTCATCATCATGAGAATAGCACAGGAAAGACCAGCCCCCATGAATCAATTACCTCCCCCTAGGTCCCTCTCACAACATGTGGGAATTCTGGGAGATACAATTCAAGTTGAGATTTGGGTGGGGACACAGCCAAATCATATCACCAGAATAATCTCCTCACCTGAAGGTCCTTAATCTTAATCACATCTGCAAGTTTTATTTTTCATAACAAGATAACATGCTCACAGGTTCTGAGGGTGAGCATCACTAGGGATGTATCAGTCTGGTTACTTCACTTTGAAATATACAAAAAAGATTACTTGATATCCTTTCAATGAATGCTGTACCCTTTCTGGATTTTCTAAACCTGTAGGGGTATGCCATTTTCATTAACATCATGATTTACAACAATCCAAGTCAGATTAATAGGAATGTAATTTCAATAATATTCAAATATTTGCTCCTCTATTGCCATGTTTCATCACTCTTTTATACTACTTTTATCACAAATGACCTCATTATACACTGTATTACAATTAGCATAGATTTGTAATAATTTCTTTATGCATTTTCTTTTTAAAGATAACACTTTTTAAAGGTAAGAACAGTGAAGCCTACAGACATGTGATTTGTTATAGTTTAATGGAGCAATGCATCCAAAATAAACAAAATAAGGTTTGGCAAAAATTCAATATCCAAGCAATTGTCTATCAAATACGAGAGTTTAATTAAATGAATACAATCTCAAAAAATTACCACTCATGCAACCTCCCTTAGTAAGTAACTAGAAGTGTTTTACCCAAAATTAGGACTAAATGAGGAATAGGAAAAGAAAAAAAAATCATTCTATCCAGGAAAGAGATGAATAGCGTTGGCAAGATGGGCATAATGCCCAAGACCCAGCTAACTACCACCCCAGATTAGAGCTAAAAAAGATTTTGACATGTATTTGAAATTTACACATTATTTGATGCTGAAAGAAACCAAAATATTTCTGTCTGAAATACCAGGGAGTGCTGAGATAAAGAAGGCTCTATTCCTTGCTCCAAATTCCTGATGGCAGGACAGCAAATTACAAAGAAAAAGGTCTTTTTGCACCCATCTCTGCCTTTTCCCTCTTTACGATGCTTGCTTATCAGCTCAGAGACGGTAGCACCAGCAGGTCTAGGAAAAGACCACTTTTCCCAGAAATTTACCTTCCAACATTTTCTCACCTTTTGGAAGCCTGAAGATGCACTTTACTTTGTCTTGTCATTACATAGGATTTATGGCTTAAAAAAAAATACTACTTAAACCAGGCCCCCAAGCCACTGCCTTGAGAGAGAAATATTTTTGAACTGAGGCCTCTCCTGCATGATGAGCACAGCACCTGTTAATAAACTTCTGGTTTTTCTCTTGTTAGTCTTACTTTAGTTTTCAGGAGAATATCTCAACTAAGAAAATATGAGAGGAAAAAAGAAATTATATTTTCTCCCTTACAATGCAAAATAGCTTAGAAGAAAGTTAGTACTGAACAAGTTGAAACCCTGTGTCTCTGGGAAGGGAGAAATGAGTAAAGTGAAAAAAAGGAATCTACTTTTTGGTAAAAACCTCGTTGAGCCATTTGACTTTTAGAAATGTGAATATGTGTATTTGGAAAAAAAAAAAACCACCACCAATTGAAGGACCAGATTAAAATAGCTTAAAACCTCAAAAAAAGAAAGCAACAATGTGATTGATCCTTTGTAAACTGAATAATTTATAATTGCAGAGAAGGTATATTCATGTTTCAAAACAAAATATTGAAGGATTTAAGCAAAATGTTCATAAGGTTAACTGAAATGTTGGTATGATATTTCATCTACAAATTAAACACAAAATTATAGAAAGTCTGGTTTTACTCTCAATTCTTGGTATTGAATGGAAACTTCTTACTAATTGCATGTATGAAATTTGAGATTATTGTGGCAAAATATTAATGAATACGTGATCTTTATGTCAAGTTAACACAGAATGCTGAACTGAATGGTCTCCTCAGGCTTATTAAATATAGTGCAATTTTTAGTAGTAATTATTACACATTTAGGTAAAATATGCAGGCTCATTTTCCTTTGATTTTGGAAAAGTAAAATATTGGAAGGTTTATAATCAGAAGAGTTTGTTGCAATTACAGTGTGCTTTGTTTAGCTGTCCAATTTTTTTTGCATATTACTTACTCTCATCTAGGAGAAAAGATTATTCTAAAAGAATTCTATTAGTAAGCTCATAGAATCTTAAATTCTGTCAATGATTTAGTAAATATTTAAAATATTTTTCTCATACTAAATGTTATTTTTTGGGTATAAGTTGTATCTCTCCTTGAGATTTAAAAAATGTACTCAGAAAAATATTTATAGAACCTGGAATGACTATGCATTTTGTATTTCATACCAAATTTTCTTTGAAACCGTGATGCTGGATCAGCCAATAATAGTTTGGATTTTGTTGCATTTGCACTTCTTTTGCCCAATCTGGCTTCCACCCACTTCCTTTAATAACTGTTGATCCCTAATAAACAGTTTGTATCTCAAAATCTGTTTTAACATCTGATTTTGGAAAATTTGATTTGTGAAACGATCCTATGAAAAACAGAATCTTCTGGCACATGCTATTGTTACAAATACTTATTTCCACTTTTTATTTTTCATTTTATTTGTATTTACTTATTATTTTTCTTCTTTGAGACATTCTTGCTCTGTCACCCAGGCTGGAGTGCAGTGGCATAGTCTTTGCTCATTGCGGCCTCAACCTCCTGGACTCAAGCAATCCCCTCATCTCAGCCTCCCAAGTTGCTGAAATCACAGGCATGTACCACCACACCTGGCCAATTTTTTTACTTTTATTTTTGGAACAGATGGAGTCAAACTCATCAAACCAGCCCAGGATGGTCTCAAACTCCTAGGCTCAATCCTCCTAAAGTGCTGGGATTATAGGCATGAGGACTGCACCCAGCCTATTTCCATTTTTAATGTTTAACACAAGTAAAACTGTCATCTGGTAAAATATCAATGTGTTTAGTTACTGTTTATGATTCTGTTTTTAACACAAGTAAAACTGTCATCTGGTAAAATATCAACGTGTTTAGTTACTGTTTGTGGTTCTGGTTTTACATATCATTAATGCTAAGAAAAAACATATTTGACCAAAAAGAATGTGCTAGCTCTCTGTACTTTACATTATCTTTAATAAATTAGTACATGTTTAAAATATTTTTGCTTATATAAAATAAACTATTACACATTATTCTCCTTTGAAAATTTTTGGTGTGTTAAAACATGCTCAAAAAGAGGTTTTTGAGGACCTTCTTGAATTTCTTGGTTAATATAAAATTTCTTTGACACCATGAAACAAACTAATTATAGATATTAACCAATTCGGTGGGGGTGGATGTGGAATGAAGTTATTCAGAACTATTACACACTACACTTTTCCTCTTTTTGTTTTCTTTTTAATTAGAAATGGGGTCTCGCCATGTGGCCCAGGCTGGTCTCAAACTCCTGGGCTCAAGTAATCCACTCCGCGGGGCCTCCCAGAGCGTTGGGATTACAGGCGTATCACTGAGCCACCGTGCCTGGCCTACACTGTGCTTTTCATTCTATGAAAGTAATTACCAAACTCCATGTTTTTTGTTTGTTTGTTTGTTTTTGGCTTCTGGGTTTTTTTTTGTTTTTGTTTTTGTTTTTTTGTGTCGGGGTATATTCTGGGCTTGTTAAATTCTATTGCTGGTATGCATTTGATTTTCAAATTACAATGAATTTTCTGAATGTTTCTCAATTTAATTTGTTTACCAATGTCAAAAAAGCTGTCCCTCTCCGGAATGGAGAAGATGTTTCCTACCTGACATAACTTTTAATTTTTATAATTAGGTTACTCTCTGGCATCATCTAAACCTTATCTCTATAGAAGATCTGTTTCTCAGATTCCTCTAGATGAGAGGTTAGCAGATTTTTTTTCTTAAAGGGCCAGATGGTAAAAATTTCAGGCTTGCTAACCAGATAAAAAAATTGAAGATATTATGTAGGTATTTATATAACCATTTATAATGTAATGATTTCAAATTATTATTATTTAACTTTTACTTTAGGTTCAGGGTTATATGTACAGGCCTGTTATATAGGTATACTGTGTGTCATGGGGGTTTGTGGTACAGATTATTTCATCACCCAGGTAATAAGCATAGTAACTGATGGACATTTTTTTAATCCTTCCCCTCCTCCCACACTCCACCTTCATGTAGGCCTCAGTCTCCGTTGTACCCCTCTTTGTGACCATGTATTCTCATTGCTTAGCTCCCATTTGTAAGCAAGAACATTCAGTATATGGTTATCTGTTCCTGCATTAATTTGCTAAGGATAATAACCTCCAGTTCCATCTGTGTTGCTGCAAAGGACATGACCTCATTCTTTTTAATGGCTGCATAGTATTCCATGGTGTATATATACATCACCTTGTCTTTATTCAGTAAAATTATTTTTTAAAAGCATTTTTTAATTTTTGCAGACTTCCCAAAACAGGTGGTTGTCAAGATTTGGCTCTCAGGCCATCATTTGCTGACTCCCACTGAGAGTAAGCCATTTATAAGTAGGCACTATGTATTATATTCAAAATTCATTTTGGAGAGCAATGAAAAGTAATTTTTGATTAGAAAATGTAAACTATTGTGCCAGTTGTAACTCAGAATAATCTTTCTCTATTTGTTTTTTGTTCTGCCATTAGAGTTAGTTGTTATTCAGTTATTGAACATCTTGGACTGGTTCTGAATTATTCCCATTGTCCATGACTGTTATACTTTTCCTGGAAAGCACACTTTATTACTATTTCCAAAAATAGTATTTTTAAAAATTTAGCCTACCATATTTCTAAAATATTATTTTGAAATAATCAATTCATTGAAAATTTCAAAAAATATATATATATATAAAGACGTTTCATGTATCCTTCACTTGGATTCTCCTAGTAGTAACATCTTGCATAACTATAGTGCACCAGCAAAACCAATACACTGACATATGCATAATCCACAGAGTTTATTCTAATTTACCTAATTTACTAGTTTTATAAGCAATGTGTGTGTTTGTGTACATTCATGCAACTTTATCATGTGTGTAGGATTGTGTAACCACCATCGCCATCAAGATACCAAATTGTTCATCACCACAGAGTTTCTTTGTGCTACCACTTTATAGTCATATCCATCATATCCAGCTCCTCCTCTTCAATCCTTAATCTCTGCCAGCCACTAATCTGTCTCCATCTCTATGTTATTTCAAGAACACGATACAAATTGAGTCATATGATATGAAACATTTTGTGATGCTTTTTTTGGTGAGCATAATTCTCTTGAGAATTCCAAGTTGTTATATGCATTCATAGATTGCTCCTTTTTTGTTGATGAGTTTTATTCCAAGGCAAGGAAGTGCCACAGTGTGTGTCACCACTTACCCATGAAGGACATTTGGGTTGTTCCAGTGTTTGGTTGTTTCAAATGGAACTGCTATGAATATTTGTATAAATATTTTTGCATGAATGGAAATGTAAATTTTTCTGTGATTAACGCCTAAGGAGTGGCAGGCTCCCATAATTATAGTATCCAGAATCTCTTTTTGTTCTTTCAATCCATCCATGTTTTAGTGCCCTGTTATTGTTTTTGTTTCATTTTCCATTGACTATAATTTTTCACCTGCTTCTTTGATATGAACAATTCAGTTGTGAAAGTGTCTTCGTCTTAATAGAATCTCCTTCCCTTCAAGTTGTTTTTTTCCATTTGTTTGTTTTAGTCTCTATCTTTCATGGTAGTAGGTTTTCAAAGATGTGTGTTGATGCTTGTATTTGGTTTGTATTTAAATTTGAGTTTCTGAGTTGTTAACAGAATGCTCTAGACTCATTATTTTGGCTTGCTAGCAGTACTCTTTATTATAATTTATTGGGCAGTGGCATTTCCCTGGAGAATTCTTATTTTCTTTAATAATTTCCTATTGAACTTGATAGAATCCTAACAACATAATATATAGAACTGGCTATTAGCAGCTATGAAAACTAAGTATGTGGAGAGGGCTGGATGCTTAGACATTTAGTATATAAGTATACATTAAATCCAAACTTTTCAGTATTTTTTAAACCCAAGATATTTGGAAAAATTTCAATTCAGGAAATCTTAATATTTTATGGAATGGTATTGCCAGAGGTACTTTCATTTATCAGTTTTTGCAAAGCTTCAGTTTTAGCTTTCTTTTGTTAATACTCATTATTCTAATTTTATTTCCTATTTTATTTTTAAGATCAAATATACAATATTCACTGCCCTATGATGGAACCATATTGTGCTATTTCCATCTGACTACCCACAGAGAATGGCAGAAAACTGAAGGATTAGTTTTCAGATTTTAGCAATTACTACCAGAGAAAAAGGTGTGTACTATATAACAGGATACAGATTTGGGTTTATATGTAAACTATAATTGTGCTACTGGTTTGGCCCAGGGCTCTATATTATTTATTCAAATAAGACACATGCAACTCAGGAAATGTAATTTGATTGATGCATGAAAATTATTCACAACAGTCACTGTCTTCTTTAAAAAAGGTATATCATGCAGGTGTTAACTGACATTTAAGAAATTAATGGTATTAGTACTAAAGATTGTGTTACTTAAATATCTTTCTATGAATCACAGCTCCCAAAGGTAAATAATTTCTTATTAAGCTTACAAATCTAAACTTAAGAATATCTGGCGAATAATTTAGTATTGGGCACTCATTAAAAGGCAAAAAATTTCAAATGGCATGCTTATGGTTATATCCATCAGTTATTTTAAATTTTATTTAACACATTTAAAAATCCTGTTGAATATAAATAGTGATTCATACCTAATAAGTTGACTCTATAGGAATGCAGCCAGCCCAAAAAATAGAATTATTATTAAGAAAGTAAATTATTTACATACCAGATATTAACTGACATGACATATTATTGGATTGAATATATACCAGTAAATAAAACTTAGGTCTTTCTTCTTCACTAGACAAAATATAAAGAATACAGTTTTCAAATTTTGCAATATACTGAAGTTATTAAAATATATGAAGAATACAGTCATATGGAAAGTCCATGTTCTCTAAGTTTCATAATCAAAGTATATTAACAACTGAAACATCTGATGACTAAGAGAACAATAGCTACTTTCATATCACAAGTTTTGTCAAAAAGCAGCTCCCTAGTGTTAAATGCAATTTTGTTTATTTAGTAATTATTTTCTTTTCCCAGATCTAGAAGTCATTCGGTATGTTCAGGTTTAGTACGGGCTTTGTCTGAAGAATGTTAATTTGTTTCTTAAAGCATTTTATTGCAGCTTGCTACATACAATCAAACTGTCTAGAGACTGAATAATACAAAAGAACTTCATTTAAATTATTAATTTAACCAATTGTATCTTTTATATATTTGTTAGATGATATTTTTCATATAATAAGTCTTTAGCATTGATGTTAGGATATGCTTTATAAATATCTGTTGGCTCGAATTTTAAATGATCAAAATGTACACATAAATTATTTTTAAGATAAAATTATATATTATACAAATAATCATACTTTCATTCTTTATTAAAATTAATTAAACCTAAAAGTTTATGTTGAAAATAATTTATTTTCTAGTTATTTCTTTCATAAAAGACAGTACCTCTTATATTTACATATAAATTATATAAGCATAGTAAGTTACAAAATCTTGCTAGAATTTGATAATATATAGAATAAAAACCGTTTCTGGTGCAAGAAGTGGACCTCCACTGCTTTCTTTCTCATCTTCATGCTGCTGATAAAGACATACTTGAGACTGGGTAATTTATAAAGAAAAAGAGGTTTAATGGACTCAGTTCCACGTGGCTGAGGAGGCCTCACAATCATGGCAGAAGGCAAAAGGCATGTCTTATATCCGGCAGACGAGAGAGAAAATAAGAGGCAAGCAAAAGTGGTTTACCCTTATAAAACCATCAGATTTCATGAGACTTATTCATTACAACTGGAACAGCATGGGGGAACCGCCACCATGATTCAATTATCTCCCACCAGGTCCCTCCTGCAACACATGGGAATTATGGGAGCTACAATTCAAGATGAGATTTGGGTGGGAACACAGCCAAACCATATCACCATCCACCCTTAAGAACCAAGATGGCAAAGATCTTTTATATTTTACTAATTTCTGAATACATGGGGACTTACAAAGGACCTGAAAATGGCAAGCATTAAAAAATTTGTTAAATAAATACATAATCCCAAATACATTCTCTCTTCTTCAAATAAGAAATTAATATTCTAGTGTGTAAGGTTAAAAGTTTTCTCAAAAAATAACCTATGCAACATACCCTTTAAAAAATTTCTACACAGAAATAGAGAATGAATCTACCTCCATGATTTGGTTGCTTCTGCGATTAAACAATTTTATTTTCTATTTCATTATTTATTTTATTTAATTAGGAGAGAATAACAAGTCATAGTACCTGCTGACTACTTAAATAAATCACAATGTTTATTATCTTTATTTATGTTTCTGAAATGTAAACATGGCACACATCACTGACATACTGGTTCCCAAGAACTGCACTGCTGAGTTGATTAGATTAAAATATGCCAAGGAAGGGGCTGTTAAAGCAATTCACTGGTGAGAGAGATGAAGAAGCTCTTTCAAAAGCAGCTTCAGATACACCTCTATACTTTTGTATAGTCTGTTATTTTAAATTCTGTACTAGCTTGTCAATTTTCCTCTGCATTTGGATTGCACTAATTAAATTACATTAAAGAAAGCCTACTTATAATGTGCCAATAATAATTTAATTATATTCATGAGAATAATCCTATCATTGCAGGTGGTATGAGGTAATGAAGAACAAATGTTCAACAGTATTTATTGGGCAATTTTTATTTGCTGAAAACTCTAACAAGAATTATATACAAAAAGATAAAATGCAAAGGGCATATGGATATTTAAAGCATATACAATTTTTAAAATGACTGACAGGAGAGATATTTCTTCCATGAAATAGCTAACTTTTGTGCTTTGAATCTTTTTTCACTTCATATTTATGCTTTAAATATCTATATGCCCTTTGCGTTTTATCTTTCTGTATATAATTCTTGTTAGAGTTTTTAAAGCATATATAATTATGCTTTAAATATCTATCATCTATCTATCTATCTCTCTACCTATCAATCATCTATCGTCTACTGTGAATTCAATGATTTTATCCACTACAAAATAATATCTATCTATCTAGCTAGCTAGCTAGCTAGCTATCATCTACCATGAATTCAAAGATTTAATCCACTACAAAATAATATCTATCATCTATCTATCTATCTATCTTTCATCTATCTATCACCTATCTGTCATCTGCGGTGAATTCAATGATTTAATCCACTACAAAATTATTTTGAATATTAGAGGAGACATGGAGCACCCTGGGTCTGAACTCCAGTTCCAAAATTGTAGTGTGGTCTCTGAATAAAAGAGAGGCCATTTATGGCAACAATAAGTATAACAGCATTATATGGTTGATATATCTTTAAGTAAAACTTTAATATTAACTGGGACCTGATTGAACCTAAAACTAATAAGAGTCAAGAATATACTTTTAAAGTTTGTCAATTATCAACATGAACTACAAATGCTTATTTTTACCTTCTTTGGACTGTATGAGAATGTATTGTTTCTGTTTCTTTTAATTAAATTAAATCTTATTTTCAACTCTTTCATTGATTCCCATATGGAATCTCCTTTCATAAAAAATAGTGTGAGCCTAGTTTGATGTTTGCAACATTGCTCTCACAAGTAAGGATGACTTATCTCTTCACTCAAAGATACTCAAACTATTAAAATTAACTGCGAATATGACTATGTTGCCTATGTAATGTAATGTTGCCTATGTCACTCCTTTTAGGGTCAGATGAGTTCCATATTATTTTTGTGATAAAGTTTAAATGCATAAAATTTATCCTAGAACAGAAATTGTTATAAGATGTACTATAATGGCTGGATGCGGTGGCTCACGCCTGCAATCCCAGCACATTGGGAGGCCGAGGCAGGCAGATCACAAGGTCAAGAGATCAAGGATCAAGACCATCCTGGCCAACATGGTGAAGCCCCGTGTCTACTAAAAATACAAAACTTAGCCAGGCGTGGTGGCATGCACCTTTAGTCCCAGCTACTCGGGAGGCTAAGGCAGGAGAATCACTTGAACCTGGGAGGCGGAGGTTGCAGTGAGCCAAGATCACGCCACTGCACTCCAGCCTGGGGGACAGAGGGAGACTCTGTCTCAAAAAAAAAAAAAAAAAAAAAAAAAGATGTACTATAACTATATAAACATGTCACATTAAATATATTAATTTAATAAATCATTAAATGAAATTCATTAATATTTTAGTTATTCTAAACTTCAAAGTCAAAATATGTCAATTATACTGAATAAAAATATTTTTTCAAAATTCTGTATTGACATAGCAATGACAATAAAAGCAAAATCCTGACATATGAGATAAACACACATAAGGAAGGAATACCACAGAATTGGAAAAGAAATATAACAGAAGAAAATGGCTGACAAACTAAGTAGACTCAAGAAGCAGCAACAGCAGCAGCAGCTGCCACTGTCAGAAATAAAAAATTTACTACATGCTTCTTTTGACCACTTAAATATGTATGGGAGTCTCTGAGACAATAAGTCAAAGCAGCAGCATTTGGGCAGTGTGTATTTACAGAACATTTTCTGAAACAATCAGTGAGTTCAGTCAAACACTGACTCAATTGAATAAATTAACTTCTTCTTTAAAATGACTGTATCAGTTACAAAAACAAAATGAGGGAACCAAGTAGATATAAAAATATAGATGGAAGATGCAGGAAGGTCATGATGATGATGATGATTGACTAAATGTCTGTAATGATGTGTATTTTGTGTTAATTGTCCTAAGTATTTTTTTCTTATTCTTGCATCTATTTGTCAAGTTGCAAAGTTAATCTCCTTTTGTGCTTTTGCATTACTTGTATTAGACTTTAGAAGGTCTCTAATGGCCCACTTCATAGTACAGATGTAAGATAATTCTGTGCATTATTTTATTCTGTGAACAGGAAAATTTTTATTTTTTCTTTTATCTATTTATATTTTGCAAAAGAGGATCTCAATAAAGAAATGAATAAGGTACATTTTTTGCAACAATTTCTTTCTCCTTTTCCTTCTTCCTTCTCAACACTTACATAACTTTAAGAACACTAGCTCCTTTTACAGGCAATTTATTTTAATGGATTATGGTGTTATATCTGCGAACTAAGTGGATAGCATTCCACTGCTGTCAAAGATGCTGAAACTATTAAAATTAACTGTGAATATGACTATGTTCCCTATGTAAGGTATGAGCTCTTGGAAATTTGATCAGTTGACATCTCTTCCAGTTGTTACAATTTTTAAAATGACTGACAGCAGAGTTACAGCATATCCTCCATGAAAAAGCTAACTTTTGTGCTTTATTTTTCATTTATTATCTGTATGTATACTTCTCAGTTGCCCCCAAGTCCAAAGCATGCCCCTTTTGGAAAGTTGCCCTAGTCGTGAGAAAGAATAAAAAAGGAATGTAACTATCTCAATTTTCCAGATAGGCTATTATTTTATTCATTTAAATTCATCACCCTCTTAATGTAGAAGTAATTTATTTTTAATTAACACTATAATTTTATCTAATCCTTTAGAAAAGAGCTTTGCTGGTGAAGAAATGTATACTTCTGGAATAAATTTGAATAAGAGAGTTATTGTAAAACACTTAACCTTATAGAGTTTTGTCTTCTGATTTATTGCTCCCATCCATGGAGTAGAAGATTTTTAAGCAGATATTTAAAGAATTTTCAAGTTTTCCTTTAAATTGTTATGAGAATTTTAGGAAAGACTTATCCCTATGAATAATACTCAAGTATTGGGCTATTTGAGAAAGTATAGAGAGATACCATTTCATAGATTGCAACAGTTAAAAAAACTCCATAGTTGTAGTATCTCTCTGTTTAATTTCAGAGCCTATATTCACTATAAAAATCATAAGCAAACAAAAAATCACATCCACAAAGTTAGGTCGTTATCCCCCTTTTCAGGGATGTTTCTTTACTAATCCTAGCCATTTTAAAATAAAACATGTATTAATTCTTCCCACAAATGAGCCACACACAGAATGAAATCCTCAGTCCTAAAGCAGTAATAAACTACATTTCCATCAAATTGTCATCAGATTTAGTTCTCCCCAAAATTATGCATGCTCTTATTTAAATAATTAGCAAACACTTAGTGAATATTGATTAGGTTTTAAATCAGTAGGCAGAGTTTATTAAGCTATGAACATTAAGGAAGAAAGTCACTGCAAAATTAATAGAACACTCATTAAGATACAGGAGCAAGAGCGTAAGGAAACAAGAACTGAATATAGAAGGCTCAATTTACTTTAACTTTGTAAGTGTGGCTTTTGAACAGGACTTTGGTATTAGCTGCATTGTCCCATACTTGAGGCAAAGTAACTGTTGGTGGTGCCATTCGTGGACTGAAGAAAATAGAATGGGTTGTATGCTGGAGCCACAGAAACTAATTTGACTACTGCCATTTTGTTTTCAACTTTCCTATCATTAATTATTTTTCAAATGATATAATATCTGAGGTTGAACAGACAAGATAATGGTTATTTATGCAAATTCTCATCTTTACTACAAGTTTTTATTTTGTTCAGTGAGATAAAAAGGATTATCAAATGGGAGTCAGTTTGATATAGGGTTGCAGTAATGTACCATAGTTTGTTAATACCTCCATGGATCCACATTCTCAGCTGGTCATACCCACACTGATGAGGCTGACAATATACTGACTTGGTTTAGTAGTACGATAGCAGTCATAACAAAACCTGAGGCTGGAGAAAAGGGCTAGGTCTTTAAGGTTTTATCTTCCTCTTGCTGTTTTTAGGATCCCTGACACTGCTTCCATGAGAAGAATCCTGTAAAATTGTTACAGAAATGTAGTGCACCTGCTCCTAGTTGGCTGCTAACAATCACCAGAAACATACCCAACTAGCTAACTGCATCTGGCCACAGAATGAAGACACATAAATGAACCTACCCAAGAGAAGACCAAATCAGTCATATCCATCCCAAATTGCCACACAGAAAGAACTACGATCCAAACAAAAGGTGGTTGTTTCAAGCCACTACATTTATTATACATCCTTAGATGACTTACAATCTTCTCTTGTTACCTGTAGTGGATTGGTTCTAAGACTCTCCCACAAATACCAAAATCTGCAGCTGCTCAAGCCCCTTATGTACAGTACTGCAACTGGTACTTAAAAGATTTGAAGGCAAAGTGCAACTTAATGGAATATATTAGATCAATGGCTTAAATGTGAGATCCTTTGTTAAGACTTCTGAAAGAATAAAATCAGTACTTCTTAGTTACTCTCAATTAGACAAAATTCACCATTTTAAAGATTTGCCCCTCTGAAAACTAAATGCCCAATGTATCAGTTAATACATTGAGAGACAATTACTCAAAAAGAATTTCTGATGTGTCTTTCGAGTTACAACTCTTAGAAATCAGACTCATAGATAATTTGCCAAGTGTTTAATGGAGTTATGCCCAGAAACAAGTTGGCAGTCTTTATCGAAAGGCACTGAGACTGTTCAAACTCCAAAAATTCTCTGATTCCACATCTTTATGAAAAGAAAATAGGTGGGAGGAGCCAAGATGGCCGAATAGGAACAGCTCCGGTCTACAGCTCCCAGCGTGAGCGACGCAGAAGACGGTGATTTCCGCATTTCCATCTGAGGTACCGGGTTCATCTCACTAGGGAGTGCCAGACAGTGGGCGCAGGCCAGTGTGTGTGCGCACCATGCGCGAGCCGAAGCAGGGCGAGGCATTGCCTCACCTGGGAAGCGCAAGGGGTCAGGGAGTTCCCTTTCCGAGTCAAAGAAAGGGGTGACGGATGCACCTGGAAAATCGGGTCACTCCCACCCGAATATTGCGCTTTTCAGACCGGCTTAAGAAACGGCGCACCACGAGACTATATCCCACACCTGGCTCGGAGGGTCCTACGCCCACGGAATCTCGCTGATTGCTAGCACAGCAGTCTGAGATCAAACTGCAAGGCGGCAACGAGGCTGGGGGAGGGGCGCCCGCCATTGCCCAGGCTTGCTTAGGTAAACAAAGCAGCAGGGAAGCTCGAACTGGGTGGAGCCCACCACAGCTCAAGGAGGCCTGCCTGCCTCTGTAGGCTCCACCTCTGGGGGCAGGGCACAGACAAACAAAAAGACAGCAGTAACCTCTGCAGACTTAAGTGTCCCTGTCTGACAGCTTTGAAGAGAGCAGTGGTTCTCCCAGCACGCAGCTGGAGATCTGAGAACGGGCAGACTGCCTCCTCAAGTGGGTCCCTGACTCCTGACCCCCGAGCAGCCTAACTGGGAGGCACCCCCCAGCAGGGGCACACTGACACCTCACACGGCAGGGTATTCCAACAGACCTGCAGCTGAGGGTCCTGTCTGTTAGAAGGAAAACTAACAACCAGAAAGGACATCTACACCGAAAACCCATCTGTACATCACCATCATCAAAGACCAAAAGTAGATAAAACCACAAAGATGGGGAAAAAACAGAACAGAAAAACTGGAAACTCTAAAACGCAGAGCGCCTCTCCTCCTCCAAAGGAACGCAGTTCCTCACCAGCAACAGAACAAAGCTGGATGGAGAATGATTTTGACGAGCTGAGAGAAGAAGGCTTCAGACGATCAAATTACTCTGAGCTACGGGAGGACATTCAAACCAAAGGCAAAGAAGTTGAAAACTTTGAAAAAAATTTAGAAGAATGTATAACTAGAATAACCAATACAGAGAAGTGCTTAAAGGAGCTGATGGAGCTGAAAACCAAGGCTCGAGAACTACGTGAAGAATGCAGAAGCCTCAGGAGCCGATGCGATCAACTGGAAGAAAGGGTATCAGCAATGGAAGATGAAATGAATGAAATGAAGCGAGAAGGGAAGTTTAGAGAAAAAAGAATAAAAAGAAATGAGCAAAGCCTCCAAGAAATATGGGACTATGTGAAAAGACCAAATCTACGTCTGATTGGTGTACCTGAAAGTGATGTGGAGAATGGAACCAAGTTGGAAAACACTCTGCAGGATATTATCCAGGAGAACTTCCCCAATCTAGCAAGGCAGGCCAACGTTCAGATTCAGGAAATACAGAGAACACCACAAAGATACTCCTCGAGAAGAGCAACTCCAAGACACATAATTGTCAGATTCACCAAAGTTGAAATGAAGGAAAAAATGTTAAGGGCAGCCAGAGAGAAAGGTTGGGTTACCCTCAAAGGAAAGCCCATCAGACTAACAGCGGATCTCTCGGCAGAAACCCTACAAGCCAGAAGAGAGTGGGGGCCAATATTCAACATTCTTAAAGAAAAGAATTTTCAACCCAGAATTTCATATCCAGCCAAACTAAGCTTCATAAGTGAAGGAGAAATAAAATACTTTATAGACAAGCAAATGTTGAGAGATTTTGTCACCACCAGGCCTGCCCTAAAAGAGCTCCTGAAGGAAGCGCTAAACATGGAAAGGAACAACCGGTACCAGCCGCTGCAAAATCATGCCAAAATGTAAAGACCATCGAGACTAGGAAGAAACTGCATCAACTAATGAGCAAAATCACCAGCTAACATCATAATGACAGGATCAAATTCACACATAACAATATTAACTTTAAATATAAATGGACTAAATTCTGCAATTAAAAGACACAGACTGGCAAGTTGGATAAAGAGTCAAGACCCATCAGTGTGCTGTATTCAGGAAACCCATCTCACGTGCAGAGACACACATAGGCTCAAAATAAAAGGATGGAGGAAGATCTACCAAGCCAATGGAAAACAAAAAAAGGCAGGGGTTGCAATCCTAGTCTCTGATAAAACAGACTTTAAACCAACAAAGATCAAAAGAGACAAAGAAGGCCATTACATAATGGTAAAGGGATCAATTCAACAAGAGGAGCTAACTATCCTAAATATTTATGCACCCAATACAGGAGCACCCAGATTCATAAAGCAAGTCCTCAGTGACCTACAAAGAGACTTAGACTCCCACACATTAATAATGGGAGACTTTAACACCCCACTGTCAACATTAGACAGATCAACGAGACAGAAAGTCAACAAGGATACCCAGGAATTGAACTCAGCTCTGCACCAAGCAGACCTAATAGACATCTACAGAACTCTCCACCCCAAATCAACAGAATATACATTTTTTTCAGCACCACACCACACCTATTCCAAAATTGACCACATAGTTGGAAGTAAAGCTCTCCTCAGCAAATGTAAAAGAACAGAAATTATAACAAACTATCTCTCAGACCACAGTGCAATCAAACTAGAACTCAGGATTAAGAATCTCACTCAAAGCCGCTCAACTACATGGAAACTGAACAACCTGCTCCTGAATGACTACTGGGTACATAACGAAATGAAGGCAGAAATAAAGATGTTCTTTGAAACCAACGAGAACAAAGACACCACATACCAGAATCTCTGGGACGCATTCAAAGCAGTGTGTAGAGGGAAATTTATAGCACTAAATGCCTACAAGAGAAAGCAGGAAAGATCCAAAATTGACACCCTAACATCACAATTAAAAGAACTAGAAAAGCAAGAGCAAACACATTCAAAAGCTAGCAGAAGGCAAGAAATAACTAAAATCAGAGCAGAACTGAAGGAAATAGAGACACAAAAAACCCTTCAAAAAATCAATGAATCCAGGAGCTGGTTTTTTGAAAGGATCAACAAAATTGATAGACCGCTAGCAAGACTAATAAAGAAAAAAAGAGAGAAGAATCAAATAGACACAATAAAAAATGATAAAGGGGATATCACCACCGATCCCACAGAAATACAAACTACCATCAGAGAATACTACAAACACCTCTACGCAAATAAACTAGAAAATCTAGAAGAAATGGATACATTCCTCGACACATACACTCTCCCAAGACTAAACCAGGAAGAAGTTGAATCTCTGAATAGACCAATAACAGGCTCTGAAATTGTGGCAATAATCAATAGTTTACCAACCAAAAAGAGTCCAGGACCAGATGGATTCACAGCCGAATTCTACCAGAGGTACATGGAGGAACTGGTACCATTCCTTCTGAAACTATTCCAATCAATAGAAAAAGAGGGAATCCTCCCTAACTCATTTTATGAGGCCAGCATCATTCTGATACCAAAGCCGGGCAGAGACACAACCAAAAAAGAGAATTTTAGACCAATATCCTTGATGAACATTGATGCAAAAATCCTCAATAAAATACTGGCAAAACGAATCCAGCAGCACATCAAAAAGCTTATCCACCATGATCAAGTGGGCTTCATCCCTGGGATGCAAGGCTGGTTCAATATACGCAAATCAATAAATGTAATCCAGCATATAAACAGAGCCAAAGACAAAAACCACATGATTATCTCAATAGATGCAGAAAAAGCCTTTGACAAAATTCAACAACCCTTCATGCTAAAAACTCTCAATAAATTAGGTATTGATGGGACGTATTTCAAAATAATAAGAGCTATCTATGACAAACCCACAGCCAATATCATACTGAATGGGCAAAAACTGGAAGCATTCCCTTTGAAAACCGGCACAAGACAGGGATGCCCTCTCTCACCGCTCCTATTCAACATAGTGTTGGAAGTTCTGGCCAGGGCAATCAGGCAGGAGAAGGAAATAAAGGGTATTCAATTAGGAAAAGAGGAAGTCAAATTGTCCCTGTTTGCAGACGACATGATTGTTTATCTAGAAAACCCCATCGTCTCAGCCCAAAATCTCCTTAAGCTGATAAGCAACTTCAGCAAAGTCTCAGGATATAAAATCAATGTACAAAAATCACAAGCATTCTTATACACCAACAACAGACAAACAGAGAGCCAAATCATGGGTGAACTCCCATTCACAATTGCTTCAAAGAGAATAAAATACCTAGGAATCCAACTTACAAGGGATGTGAAGGACCTCTTCAAGGAGAACTACAAACCACTGCTCAAGGAAATAAAAGAGGAGACAAACAAATGGAAGAACATTCCATGCTCATGGGTAGGAAGAATCAATATCGTGAAAATGGCCATACTGCCCAAGGTAATTTACAGATTCAATGCCATCCCCATCAAGCTACCAATGACTTTCTTCACAGAATTGGAAAAAACTACTTTAAAGTTCATATGGAACCAAAAAAGAGCCCGCATTGCCAAGTCAATCCTAAGCCAAAAGAACAAAGCTGGAGGCATCACACTACCTGACTTCAAACTATACTACAAGGCTACAGTAACCAAAACAGCATGGTACTGGTACCAAAACAGAGATATAGATCAATGGAACAGAACAGAGCCCTCAGAAATAATGCCGCATATCTACAACTATCTGATCTTTGACAAACCTGAGAAAAACAAGCAATGGGGAAAGGATTCCCTATTTAATAAATGGTGCTGGGAAAACTGGCTAGCCATATGTAGAAAGCTGAAACTGGATCCCTTCCTTACACCTTATACAAAAATCAATTCAAGATGGATTAAAGATTTAAACGTTAAACCTAAAACCATAAAAACCCTAGAAGAAAACCTAGGCATTACCATTCAGGACATAGGCGTGGGCAAGGACTTCATGTCCAAAACACCAAAAGCAATGGCAACAAAAGACAAAATTGACAAATGGGATCTAATTAAACTAAAGAGCTTCTGCACAGCAAAAGAAACTACCATCAGAGTGAACAGGCAACCTACAGAATGGGAGAAAATTTTCGCAACCTACTCATCTGACAAAGGGCTAATATCCAGAATCTACAATGAACTCAAACAAATTTACAAGAAAAAAACAAACAACCCCATCAAAAAGTGGGCGAAGGACATGAACAGACACTTCTCAAAAGAAGACATTTATGCAGTCAAAAAACACATGAAGAAATGCTCATCATCACTGGCCATCAGAGAAATGCAAATCAAAACCACTATGAGATATCATCTCACACCAGTTAGAATGGCAATCATTAAAAAGTCAGGAAACAACAGGTGCTGGAGAGGATGCGGAGAAATAGGAACACTTTTACACTGTTGGTGGGACTGTAAACTAGTTCAACCATTGTGGAAGTCAGTGTGGCGATTCCTCAGGGATCTAGAACTAGAAATACCATTTGACCCAGCCATCCCATTACTGGGTATATACCCAAATGAGTATAAATCATGCTGCTATAAAGACACATGCACACGTATGTTTATTGCGGCACTATTCACAATAGCAAAGACTTGGAACCAACCCAAATGTCCAACAATGATAGACTGGATTAAGAAAATGTGGCACATATACACTATGGAATACTATGCAGCCATAAAAAATGATGAGTTCATATCCTTTGTAGGGACATGGATGAAATTGGAAACCATCATTCTCAGTAAACTATCGCAAGAACAAAAAACCAAACACCGCATATTCTCACTCATAGGTGGGAATTGAACAATGAGATCACATGGACACAGGAAGGGGAATATCACACTCTGGGGACTGTGGTGGGGTCGGGGGAGGGGGGAGGGATAGCATTGGGAGATATACCTAATGCTAGATGACACATTAGTGGGTGCAGTGCACCAGCATGGCACATGTATACATATGTAACTAACCTGCACAATGTGCACATGTACCCTAAAACTTAGAGTATAATAAAAAAAAAAAAAAAAAAAAAAAATTAGCCGGGCGTAGTGGCGGGCGCCTGTAGTCCCAGCTACTCGGGAGGCTGAGGCAGGAGAATGGCGTGAACCCGGGAGGCGGAGCTTGCAGTGAGCGGAGATCCCGCCACTGCACTCCAGCCTGGGCGACAGAGCGAGACTCCGTCTCAAAAAAAAAAAAAAAAAAAGAAACATAGTTCTAGGGGACACATTCCCCTTTTCCCTAGTGGAAATCAAGGTAGACCAAGACCAGTAGATTAAAACAGAAATCAGAGATGTGCTATGGTTTGGCCCTGTGTCGCCACCCAAATCTCGTCTAGAATTGTAATCCCCAACTGTTGAGAGAGGAACCTGGTGGGAGGTGATTGTATCGTGGGAGCCATTTCCCCTGTGCTGTTCTTGTTATGGTGAATGAGTTCTCATGAGATCTGATGTTTTTAAAGTAGCAGTTTCCCCTGTGCACACACACACTCTCTCTCCTGCCACCTTGTAAAGAAGGTACTTGGTTCTCCTTCACCTTCCGCCATAATTGTAAGTTCCCTGAGGCCTTCCCAGCCATGCAGAACAGTGAGTCAATTAAACATCTTTCCTTTATAAAAAAAAAAAAAAAAAAAAAAAAAAAAGAAAAGAAAATAGGTTAAGAAAATTTCTGTAAGAAAATATTATCCTTTGAACTCTCCAGAAATATCTAAGGAGGATGAAAAAAAATAAAGGATATCTCAGAGGGTAGAGCCAGGGAACATGAAGGAAATATGGGAAGTCGCTCACTGGAAAAGGAATATGGCTTCGTCAGGGAGCATGTTTTCCCCTGAAACTGGAAAATATGACCTATTTGCCCAATTTTGTTTCAGAATTGCTATGGATCATGAAATGCATGTGGTTATCATTTTTCTCCTTTTGAAATGGCAGCATTTTTTGTCGTTCTTCTATTCTGTGTCACCATCAGAAGTTGTGTTTGTGTAGTGAAAATAACATGTTTTTCAATATGGTGCCTCACTGATATCCAGCATCACAGTGAATCACAAAAATCTGGACTTTATGCCTGATGCTTAGATTATATGAGAATTTTGGTATTTTGTGAGAGAGTAAATGTACTTTACTTGTGGGAAGCAGGTAAATTATTAGTGCTAGAGCCATGCTTACTAGATTGTTTCAGTAATGACCTTCCATTTATTCACGCCCTCCTGTCTCTGCTATGTGGGTTGTGCTTTTACATGTTGAATATGGGGTTGTCCTCATAGTATGTGAGCAATGAGACAATAGCAAGCATGGCATAAGCAGATACTTGGAAATGCTTTTGCATCGAGTCCTGTTCTACTTCTTGGTCTTCTTAAAACATGCCTGACCATCACCATATGAAGAAATCCAGGATAATTTGCTAGGTGAGAAGAGACCATTGTTTCAGTAATCCTTGTCATTTCATCCAAGAGCCAGAAGGTGAGTCTTTTGGCTGACTAGCAGCTTCCCACTAGTATACATGGGTCTAGCTAAGACCAGCAGCCAAAATTGTCAAACCATACAATTGTGGATTTGACCAATGTTGTTTCAAGGCACTAAATTTTGGTGCAGTACAACATGAATGTGAAAGAGGAAGTGATGGAGTTTAGACAACAGATAATTTGAAGCTTCTTTTTATTAAATAACTTTAATAAAATATATTATTTTTAATTGGGGAAAGTAAAAACCTATATGGGAGAATAAGTTTTAATCTGAGAAAAAATTGGGGAAAGTAAAAATTTACCTTCATTATATATTCTGAATATTATTAAATATTAAATGTTAATAAACACTGCAATAAAATATCATAAGTATATTCTTCTAGAATATCATTTTCTTAAAAACATTTATTTATACAATATATACTTTAAAATAATGACATAATGTTTTAAGGAGATTTAGAAGGTTATATATTATGTTGGAAAAACTTTCTTAGAATAAATTAAGAAAGACCACAGAAGACATTTACTTTATTCACAGCTGTGTCTCCAAATGCTCTGTATTTATTTGTTCATATGTAAAATGAGAAGGTTGAAGTACATTTTCAATGTCTATTATAGAATCTATTATTTTAGGATTTTAAATATCTTTTAAGGTACTTGCTTTCAGTGACACAATAAAATGTGCCATCAAAAACTAGGAGACATAAGGAGTTTCACAACAAAATCAACAAAAAGAACATAATTATTCTTTAACATTCTTATTAGGCTTTTTCCCCTCAAATATAAAAGAATGATTTATTGTTATAATTGATTGCTTCATTTATAATTACTCCATTCATAAAAATTCAAATCATGTGTATCTCAGGCATATAGGAACATTAAAAAAGTTTAAATCAATATTCAGCATTAGCTTGTGGAAGACAAGAACATTCAAACAATCACCAAGTATTTTATTCATGGTTGGGAAATAACTTTGTAAAACAAGTTAACAGAAAAATTGGATGGAGGAAGAGCTAATCATTTTGACTTGTCTCAGTTTTTAATTAACCAAAATAATGATAATAGAGCTATTCATTCTTTTTATTGTAGTTCCCATCCACCCACACACTCACACACATGCCGAGACAGATACATACAAACAATGCTGAATTGAGCAATAAAAATAATTAACATAGTCCTAGGCTAAGTTTGATCAATGTGCCAGTGTCTCAGCACCACCTCTGCAAGTTAATCAATAGATGCATCCACAGTATGACTTGTTACTTGGTGTTTTCTTTAGAAGGACAAAACTAGCATCCTCATGAAGCTCTACCGATCTTTCATTCTACCCTATATCTTATTAATTGGGTTGCATAACAGGTACGTCCCCATACTCCACACACACATATGTTTTTATAGTATATGTGTTTAGTTTACCTGAATAAACATTTTTTTAATGTTCCAGTCTACTTAAAAAGAGGAAGGCTCAATTGAAGTAAATTCTAAATACAATAGTTCGGTTCTAAAAAGTATCTGAATATGTTCAAACAGTATACATTTTTAGTATGCATGTCCACATATAATACATCTATACTCTCCTTTAATTTATTTACATTTTATAGATAAGATTCTACAGAAAGTGGTCCTTCCCTAGATAAGATCCAAGGTGACCCAGCTCATAATTAGCAGCTTTATTTTGTGATCACAGATTCTCAGTCAGATTTTATTTGAAGGAAACATATAACAGAAAAAATATGTATGGCATTTGCTTACTAAACACGCAGAATTGTCAAGCTAGAAAGATGCACATACTAACAGTGCGTGAAGTTGCAGTATTTCTTGATTTTCTTTGCTTATGAGTTTATCTAGAAACTCACTTTTATTTCACACTAAAATATAAGCGCTTTATTTGCAGAAATTTTAAGTTGTAAAGGAAATTTTACAACTTAAAGGATGATTAACTGAGGGTCCCAATTACAGTTAGCCAAGTGACAGATTTTTCTAACCAGGGGCCTTATGAAGCCCTTTAAATTGTATCATAGTTCTATTTATTCAACCTGTATGTGAAGATTACATTTTACTCATTCCCAGTGAAAATCCTTGTAAACAATCACAAGGAGAACAGATGCAAATTTTCCATTGTCTTCTGTGAAAATCTTGGAGCACTGATTTTCGATATCAAGTAAGTCCCCTCTATAAAAGTGACTCAGGCACTAGAGCTCTTTCAAGATTGTAACAACTAGTATTCATTTAGGCCTCACTATGTCCCCTAAGCACTAATAGCACTAAGTACTACCACTCTGGTAAGACCTTACTAAATGCCTGCCATATATTCATTCTCTTTTTCCCCCCTTTTCTAATTTTGTTTTGCAAGAACAATGGACTAATTTAAAACTACTTATCTGGTTGAATCCATCACAGATAATGGTGGGCTGGCTATGTGCACGGTTCTGGTCAAGGAACAGTATAAATGATTTCCGGAGAAAGCATTTCCCTTTCTGATTCAGGCTCTCTTTTTCTTATATTCTTCCTTTCCTCCTTTGCAAAAGATGTAGAGCTATAGTCATTTTGAAACTGTGAGGTAACTCTCATGAGTATGAAAGTTAATGTAGTAAGAGAACAAAACAGAATTTGAGCCCAATTTTATAAGCCTATGTTTGTAGGGCTTCTTGTTATTTGTAACTACTTAATAGAGCTATGCATACTTCAGCGTATTTATCTTCAAAATAACATCACGGTTTAGATATTTTATTACCAGTAAAATGCACATTAAAAAAGGAATAAGCCAAAGAAATGTTAATTAATGGTTTAAGTCCACTTAAAAAAGTAAAACAATGGTGAAGATGTTTTCCACATGTGCAATAGATTATTACATTTGTCAAATTTATCTCTCCAAAGAATCCTTTTGAAAGAAGATACAGTCCTTCTCTATAATGCTCCAAAAAATACTTAAAAATGAATCTTTCCTGCCATGTGGAAAATAAAATATACGGTAATTGTGCAGGTAATGTCTGACTTATGTACATGTGAAGTTTTTAATTTTTAATTAGCTGTCAAAGCATATATTAATTGGTTGTTTATCAATTTCAAAATGAATGCCTAAGTTACAAAAATGAACAACTCATGTATGTTGTTTGAATAAAAACAGTTTTAATAATAGTCAAGTTCTGGGCAAGACAATTGTTTTAATCATTTCATCAAGTCAAGGTCTTAGACAAGAAGCCAACTATGTGTGTAAATATAGTGTTCTATTTGACATGCAAAAATTAAACTTATAAATGTAATTTGCAAGAAACACATTTTTAGTATAACAAAACACAAAGTTTTTTATAAAATAAGTTGAGAGGTGACTTACAATTTTAAATATCAGAATTCATGTTAAATATTTCTAGATAAAAAACTTTAAAAATGTAAAAGTATTATAAAATTTTTAGAAGTTCATTTATTTTTCTATGTGGTTTCTATTATTTCTATTCTGTCCATTTAAGTAATATTAAATAATAAAAATGTATTTTCCTTCAAATTATGTATTACAAGGTATTATTAACTTGTTACATGTAGCTCTGTTTGTCATAACGGATCATTAGATAAATTTCCATTGAATTAAGGTTGTAATTACATACATTCTCATTGATTTTGGCATCACATGCATGCCTTCAAATGAGTGCAGATTCATATTACACCCATTTAGTAAATGTGAGAGACAGTCATAATATTGTCATCAACAAAAGATGTTTATAACAGATTTACATAAGTTAATACAATGGAGAGTTTCTGTAATCTCAATTGCAAGATGGGTTTCCAGAACCCTAAAGATCTATAATACAGAAACTCCTCAGTCTACTTTAAATATTTTCATATTGAAATAATCCAATGTAGATATTTACAAAAACAAGACAACTGATCAGTTTGTGATAATTGGTCAAATTTAAAATTCAAAATTGGTCAGATTTAAATTTTAGCCAAAAGCGAATAAAAAAGCCAACTTGCAGCTTCAAGGCACACATACACACTATATATCCCAATTCATTAGTGAAAAATGAAGTTAATCAATTCTTAAATGAAAAATAAAATTTGTGACTACTTGATACCTTAAGAAAGAATGAATATTTTTCATTGTTCATCACTACTATGAAGTTTTATGAACACAGGAATAATTACATTTTTTTGAATTGTTTTTACAGAAAATTTTATTTTCCCCCTAAATGACAGGTTTTATATAGCAATTTCTGAAAGCTTAAACTGCAACAGCTATTTAAAAAAAAAATACCTGTGACATTTTCTCTGAGTCGGAGTTTTTCAGCAATAAAATAATTATTTGTCAGTGCTATGACAATGGAAATGGTTTACCTTAGGGGAAAGAACAAAGAAAGGATGATCTTTCTGAAAAGCCTTAGGACTAATCTCAAATATACCCTTGTTTCCTCAAAGCACATCATTGTGTGAAATCTAAGCATAAAGTGAAAGTCAAATTTAACCAGCGCGGCTTCCTTTTCAATAAAAATGTAACTGTTAAATATTGGTTTATATATCAATGTTATTCCTGTTGATTGCTGAGTTAAGCTTTCAAATTTAGTTGATTAACATAAAAAGCCAAAGACCACTAGAAACATTCCTATACTATTAAATTATATTTGGTTTACTTGCAATTGGATAACTGAACTTTCTGCAGTAAATGAGAATGCTTATGGAGAAACGCTAGGCAATCCTTAAGTGCTGTTGATGGATGGGAGTTGCAATCTTTAGGAAAATTGCTGTACTGTTAGATAATCTGTGGTTTGATTTAGAACACACTTTCCTATTGTGCCATGGAATACCAGAACTTATTCTATCCAACTCCATTATTGTACCCATTAACTAGCAAAATATATTTTAATGTCTTCTTTCATATTCTTGAACAATGAAGACATTTCATACTTTCAGGAACATAATTTTTTCATTATTTTTCTCTTTTATTTGTATAAATTTAAGAGGTATATATGCAGTTTGTTACATGGATATACTGTGTAGTGATGAATTCTGGGCTTTTTGGGTAACGATGGCCCAAATGGTGTACATTGTACTCATGTAAACAAACCAAAAATAAGAAATATTCATTATTTGATACCAAAATGTTTAATGCATTTCTTTAAATAAGAACACATATATTAATATAACCTAAAGTTACTTATACATCCATTTTCTGTAGTAAAATGTATTAAATGAGACTAGAAATATATTAAAATTATTGTCATGTTATCAAAATTTAAATTATCGATAACTCAATATTATACTACTTTAAGGTTTTAAGTTAACTATTTGGAAATTACTAATTAAGTTCTACTTGTTTATAGTATAAGACTTTATTTTAAAAACGTTCTTACTATTCTAAGTCATGTGCAATTTAGCTAAAAATTTCAGAATCATCTTGCCAAGTCTCAAAACTTTTGCTGGAATTTTTAATGAGATTGCATTAAATCTTTTTATGTATTTGGGAAAATAGAGCATCTTAACAAATTTGAGTCGTCCAGTCCTCTAGCATGGGATATCTTTCTGTATTAATCCATTTTCACTCTGCTAATAATGACACACCCGGCACTAGATAATTTATAAAGGAAAACAATTTAATTGTCTCCATCCCGCAGGCCTGGGGAGGCCTCAGGAAATTTGCAATCATGACAGAAGGGGAAGCAAACATGGCCTCGTTCACAGGGCAGCAAGAAGTGCTGAGCGAAAGAGTGAATAGGCCCCTTAAAAAGATCTCATGAGAACTCATTATCATGAAGCCAGCATGAGAGTAACTGCCCCCATGATTCAATTACCTCTTACCAGATGCCTCCCATGACACATGGGGATTATGGGAACTACAATTCAAGATGAGATTTGGGTGGGGATACAGCCAAATCAAATCACTTTCTAAATATTTACTCTCCAAAAATATACTTTATATTCTATATGTACTTGAGGGAGTTCCCTTTTATACCTTGTATTTTGGGATTTTTACCAAAAATGAATATCCTATTTTTTCTTTTTTTGTGACCAATTTAGATAGTTTTAGAACTTTTTATTGTTCTTTTCATAAAACCTGTAATGTAAGCATTTGAATTCATATATTTACATTTATGAATGTTTTGCACCTTTCTACAAATGTTTATACATTGAGTTTTTCTTATCATTTAGTATACTATTTGCTACTTCATCTTGTAATTCCTTCATTTACACTTTGATTGATTCGAATTGAATTGTTTAATTTTGAGATACTCAAGACTGCTAGATATTTTTAACTTCTAGTGTAATTTAATTTATGATAAAGAAATAAAGTCTATTTTACTGTTAAATCTATTGAGCTGTCTTATGATTCAGAAGTTGAATATTTTGTGGTGAACGTTTTATGTGCATTAAAAAAATAATGTAATCTGTAATTGAGTGCACTGTTAGACATACAGGGTTATTAAAATGTTCGATCACCTTACTAGATTTTTGTTCAGTTCTTTTATCAACAATTGGGATATGGTGTTAAAATTTCCATCTAAGTTTCCAGATTTGTTTATTTCTTCCTTTGTCATTATTTTCTTCACATATTTTAAAATGTTCTTATTAGGCATATGCACATTTATAATTTTTATGTATTCCGAATATATTGACCCTTTTATTGTGATTAAGTTCTCTTCCCTGTTAATTTACTTTAATGTCCATTTTTTCTGACATTAATAAAACTATTCCAGCTTTCATATGATTTATTGTTAATAACATATTTTCCCTTTCTTCAACTTTTATCCCATTTGTGACAATTATTTAGTGTATGTGCATCTTGTAGAAAGCATATAATTGAGTCTTGTTCCTTTGGTTTTCTGACAATCTCTATATTTAATAGAATATTCTGTTGACAGTAAAGTTAGTGATATAGTAATATTTATGTCTGTCATTTGGTGAAGTGCTTTCAACTTATTTTATCTGTTTTTGTTTCTTCATTTTTATGTTTATTTCTTCTATCCTCTTTCTTATTTTGTGTTATTTGAATATTTTATTTGTACTCTATTTTGATTTCTTCTTTGCCTTTTTTGCATTACTGTTTAGTCATTACTCTAAAATTACAGATTTCACTTTATTTTCAGGTAATCGTCTTACATTTAACAAATTAGTAATTCATGTTTATAATGGGGTGCAATTTATAAATCATCCTTTATAAACCACTTATACTCTATGCTCTTGTATCATGTAAATTAATTCTATAAAAGTTGTAAACCATGCAACTAATGGTTATAATTTTTTCTTTTAACAGTTAATGGCTTTTAAGAATTTAAGAGAAGCAGAGACAATCTATGTGTCTGCATAGTTTCATATCTACCCACATATTTGCTACTCATTTGTCTTCATTTTTTCATTCCTGTAGATTCAAGAGGTCACTGTCATTTTGCTTCAGCCTGAAGAACTATCACTTCTTGTAGGCCAAATGAGCCCAATACAATATATTTTAGCTTATGTGAACATTTCTATATTTCCTTTTTTATGGACAGTTTCATTAGATACAGAATTCTTGGCTACAGCTTGTTTTTCCTCCCAGTATTTTGGCTATTTTCTTCTAATGGCATCTGATCACTATTGTTACTGTTGAAAAGTCATCTAATAATATTTGCTTTTTAGTTTTCTTCTTAAGGGTCATATGTCTTTTTCCCCTGTATACACTAGAAATATCATTTTTATGTGGGACTAGAATTAGTCTCTTTTGTGTTTATCCCACTTGGAAATGTTTAGCTTTTAAAATCTAAAAGATAATGTTTTACAAAAAAAGATAATATTTTTCAACAAATTTAAGACAGTATTTCTTCAAATATTTGTTTGGTTTTTACCTGCACTTTACATACCTTTTCTTTTAAGATCTTAATTAATTTTTTTGTTTGCTTTCCCTATATTATCACAAAGGTCTATTAAGACTGTGTTCATTTTTATCAGTCCTTTTTTCTTTATCTTTTGGATGGAGGAATATTCATTAATCTATCCTAAAGTTTACAGATTCTTTTATCTGCCATCTCTAAATTACCACTGAGATGACTCAATAATTTTTTTAGTTTTAAGAGTGTACATCTAAACTAGAGTGTTTCTAATTTTTATAGTTTACTTTTTCTCTATTCATATAACCATATAATGTATCTGTAACTCCTGAAGACTGTCTTTATTTCCTTGAATATATTTTTCTTTCATTTTTCGAGCATGTTTATAATAATTACTTTGGAGTCTTTTTTTTTTTCTGTGAAATGTAGCATCTGGTCCTGTTCAGACGTAATTTCCACTGACTGCATTGTTTTCCTGAATATGGGTCATATATTCCTGTTCTATGCTTGTCTAATACTTTTTGGCTGAAAACTAGCCATCATAAATAATACTTCACTGCAAGTCTGTCTTCCATTCTGTTCTTCTGAACACTTTTTGTTGTTGTGGTTCTTACAGCTTATAGAGGCAAATATAATTTTTTTAAGCCTAAATCCCTGGCTGTCCCCTCTTTCATGTGTAATTTGAGTGTTTGTTAAGGATTTGGATAAAGTTCATGCTCAGCTATTACTGAGCACTTTCTCTGTAATTTTCTTGCTTCTGGAGACTGCATCTTAAATTTCCACCTGCTCTTCTTGTATCAGGTTTTGTCCTCTGGCACATCAATTGTGCAAGACTCCCTCTTTCAATCCCGTGAGCTGAGCACTCACTGAGGAATGCATTAGTTTAAACAACAACAAAGAATTACAAACATTACCTGGCATCCCTCTTACTGTCAGTGGCAATTTTGTGTTTGGTCCTTGCCTGATGTGTTTTTGCTATGGGCCCCTGTAACGTCCACCGTGTATGTACTTTACTGGTACGTAACGCATCTCGGCAGTTTATATTCAGATTTTATATATCATGTCTACTGAAGATCCCCTATTTTCAGAACTTTGCCCTTAAATTTTCTTTTGTATTTTTATTCATGAACAATATTCTCTGTCAACTGTTAGTGGTAAGACTGATTTTTGGCTACTCTGATCATAACGGTCAGAAAATACCATGAAGTAAGAAAGCCACAAACAGACTATTTGATTGCAGTTTTTCAAAAGATAATATCCTCTCTCTTTTGTCTGTTTTGAAGACATTCAATACTACTTTCAAATATTATTTTATTCATATTTCATAATAATTATCTGCAGGAGGGTTCAGGCAACCACTTAACTCTATTTTATTATATTTCACTACCACTGACATTGACTCCAGTTAACATTTGAAAACTCTCCATATACTCATAGGCTAAACAAAATAAATAAAATGTATTGATTTATAGTCTATGTAAACCCATTTACATTCTTTCTAGATCTAAGTCTCTTCATTCTCTATTACCTTTACCTCAGTACATTTGATTTCAAAAGAATGCGCTATAACTAATTTTGAGAATCATGTCTAGTTCCATATTTTTAAATCTCCTGCTTCAAATATAACCCTACCCTTTTCTTGATTCCATGCTCTTGTCTGGATTTCCATTCATTTCATTTATTTTTATGTAACATGTTTTTGTTAATTTGGGCATGCATATTGTTCACAATACTTCATCATTTCACAAGAAACAGATAACTTTACTCATTTATCTTCCTGCCACTATACAAACATCAGTAGTAAAAATGATGGTCTTTGTCCTTGGACACTAGCCAGATAGAACCATCATGTATAGAAGGTAGATGAAATTTTATTCATGAACACTGGAAAGAGGAAGTCATTTACATTGGTCTTGATTTCCTCATATGGATTCATACTTTGGTTTATACCATACCAAAGATTTCTTCTTCCATCTTATTTTTTCTTGATGGTAAATATTTAGTCTTAGAATAGAAAGAAAGAAAAGATGTTTCCAATAGTTTCTATAGCCTTAACATTTTTCTCACCTTGTTATTTTCTAGAAAATCATTATTCAAATCATCTTTCTAAACACAAGTCACAAATGTAGGCTTTAGATTTAGTGGTCGGCTAAATACAATGATTGCTTGAAAAAGTTAGATTAAAAGACAAACAACAAGCAACAACAACAACAAAATAATTCTTGATTCATGCAGAGACATCTTTATTCTGTGCTCCAGTATTTGAAGAGCAGAAACTAAGAACTAGCATTCTAAGGAGGTGAAATTACTTCTTCTCTACCACAAGATCATAAGATTTATTTAGAAGAGTCTAACTGATTTCCAGATGTCTGCATATCAAGTTGTTTGATTATATTTTCCTAACTCTATATTATATTATATTCTAGATTATTGCTCATAATTTTATATAAATAACAACAAAAATGACAACATGGATAGTATTTATAACCAGTAAAACATTCAAAATTCAGAAGTGACTTTTGAAATGTGTACTGTAAATATTTCAGCTTTACGTACATAACGTTTCTCCCTTCCCCCATAAAAATCTTATTTTAAGGGACTAGATGAAAAATTCCAAAAGGAAAACATAATCTAACAGTTAATGGTATAATATTGCTTGAAATTTAGTCATTTAGGTATGCTACCAAACTATATGAATAAACATATTTAAAATAAAAATTTTCACTAATCGAAATAGAATAGTGTATTCTGTGATAAACCACAAGATAAAAAAATCTTGATTTCAATGCTAAAGAATAATGGATAATTTAAAAAAAATCTGGTCTCTGTTTTTCCCTAGCACTAGCTGATAATAATAACAACATATGTATAAAACATTTTATAGCTTTAAGTAATATTTAGAGATTGTTTTATTTAATAAAATGTTTTTTCATAAAAAATTAATACTAAGTTAAGAATCTAAATATAGTTTGAATAGGTCTTCATTTGGGCTGAAATGACTCTATAAAATCCATATTGGCAAGTTATAAAAACACATTATTTAACGGTAATGAAGGAGTGACATACTACTTTCTACGCTATTCATTTTTTAGGATGATTTACTTCTAATGTATAATTGCAGGTATTATATTTTATAGAATTATAGAGGGACTCTCAAGATGCATTAACCTAAAATGAACTGATCAAGCTTTACCATCTCTAATTTATATGAAGCAATTCATCTTCTTGAATATTTTACAGTTGATGCTGTTCAGTATACATTATCTAATTGTGCATACCAGATGCAGAAAAGGATAAAGTGCATGCTGAAGATAGAAATAACGTATTAAACTAATAGTAATCTAATTTTTTTAACTGTAGAAAAACCAGATATATCTGCATGGGAATGTCTGATTTACATCGATCATACAATAAATTTTAAAAATAATAGATGTAACTGATTCGGGTAATATAATTTCAAGGTCACTATTAAAAGAAACCATATCATTTAGAATAATTTTCAGCTTGGAAAAAAACCTTTGTGGAATAAAATTTAAAAGAAATATATCAGATTTAAATTACTTTGAAATTGCAAAGCTGTAATTTCGTGTGCTCACATCTTTTATTCTTATCCAGTTCTGACAGAGTAATCTCCTGACAATATTTTAATAGATAGATTTCTAAGCCAGTTCTGAGCAGAAAGTCAAAATCCATTTTGTCATTCTGATTCATTATGGTTAAACCCCTGGAGGCTTTAATTATCATTCTCTTTTTGCGAATAACCTGCATTTTTACCATTTGTTTTAATTTTATTTTGATATTGAAAGGGCAACTCTGGATAAGCCACTATTTTTATGAATATTGACAACTGGAAGGTATTTTCACAGTTAAATGAAACTCACGAGGCACTTTGGAAACAACGGTAAAATCTGTTTTATTGGGCATGCATTAAATACCATGCTTGGTAATTATAGATATACTCTATAATTTTTATTCTGTAACACCATAAAACTCACTAATGAAGAATATTGCTTGTATCAGAAAATATGTTGAAATTTAATTCTATAAACATTTATGTCATTTACTCTTACCATGTTTTGAATTTTAGTACACATTCCTTTCATTTTTTTTTCCTCAACTAACAAATTCAACAGCACACAACGAAATTTGAAGCGTGTTGGAAAAGGTAGATTCTTATCTTCTGTGATGAAAGATTTTTGTACTTTTTCTCTTGCTCTCCTTTTCTTTGTAAGTAACTTTGCCCAGTGGTTCATGGCAGGAACCTGAGGATTATTGTTTGCTCTTTCTTCTCACTTATGCCCAGCATCAAATTGGTCACAAAATTTCTTTGATACCATTTCTTTAGTAACTGAAAAATCCAATGCCTTTTTTTTTTTTTTTTTAAATTCCTACCTCTGTCGCACTAGTACTAGCCCAATCACTTTGACACTGGACAACTACAGGAAATACTTATCTTTTCTGGACATTAGTCTGTTGCCATCTATTAAATCCTTCACATTGCTGCCAAACATTTCTAAATACTTGCCTAATTATTTCACTTCATTTATATCATCTGCAACTAGCACCATACTATATCCAGGCTAAAACCCCAAAATCCTTTGTCTATTATCAAAGGCTTATTAACATGCACCTAATTTGTGTTCCTTTATCTTCGGCAAGATTCTCAGATTCTCAGTTATGTAGCAACATCAATAGTTTTTGGTTATGACTCTTATTTGCTAGAAGAAATTGTGACTTCTCTTGTATATTTACATAGAGGAATGCAAAAAAAAATTTAATAAAATTACTTTTCTTATTGAAATATCCAGAATTAAATTTTGAAATTAATGTGTTTAGTATTTTTACCCAATTACAAACTAATGTCTCATGTATGTTTTCTTTACTTTTCTGTAACAAAGAGTTGCTTAGACTTCCACAGTTCCTTCATTAGAACTATGAAGTTCTAATCAACTTCACAGTTGATGTTGCAAGAGTCATGAATTTGAATTGATAATGTATTAGTAATGTGTAAAAGTTTGTTCTTATGCTGCTAATAAAGACATACCCAAGATGGGATAATTTGTAAAGGAGAGAAGTTTCATTGACTCACAGTTCTGCCTGGCTTGGGAGGCTTCAGGAAACTTGCAATCACGGAGAAAGGGAAAGCAAAAAAATCCTACATCACATGGCAGCAGGAAGAAGACAAATGAGTGCCCAGCATAGGAGGAAGCCCCTTATAAAACCATTAGATCTAGCGACAACTAGCTCGCTATCAAAAGAAGAAGATGGGGAATCCACCCTCATGATTCATTTATCTCCACCTGGTCTATCCCAGGACACATGGGAAATATGGGTACTATAATTCAAGATGAGATTTGGGTGAGGAGACATCCAAACCATATCATTCTGCCCCTGGCCTCTCTCAAATCTCATGTCCTCACATTTTAAAACAGAATCATGTCATTCCAACAGTCCCCCAAACTCTTACTTCATTGCAGCATTAACTCAAAAGTCCAAGTCCAAAGTCTCATCAGACAAGGCAAGTGCCTTCTGCCTATGAGCCTGTAAAAATCAGAAGCAAGTCAGTTACTTCCTAGATACAATGGAGGTTACAAGTATTTGGTAAATACACCCATTCCAAATTGGAGAAAATGGCCAAAACAAAGGGGCTAAAGGCCCCAGGCAAGTCTGAAATCCAGTGGGGCAGCCAAATCTTAAAGCTCTAAATTGATCTCCTTTGACTCCATGTCTCACATCCAGGTCATGCTGATGCAGGAGTTGTCTCCCATGGCCTTGGAAAGCTCTGCCTCATGGCTTTGCAGGGTATAGACCCCCTGCCAGCTGTTTTCACAGGCTTGCATTGAGTGTCTGCAGCTTTTACTGGCACATGGTACAAGCTGTCAGTGGATCTACCATTTTGGGGTCTGCAGGATGGTGGCCCTCTTCTCACAGCTCCACTAGGCAATGGCCCAGTGGGGGCTCTGTGTGGGGGCTATCACCCCACATTTCCCTTCCACACTGCCCTAGCAGACGTTATCCACGAGGGCTCCACTCCTGCTGTAAACTTCTTCCTAGATAGCCAGACATTTCCATACATCTTCTGAAATCTAGGTGGAGGGTCCCAAACCTCAATCCTTCACTTTTATGCACCTTCAGGCCCAATACTATGTATAAGCCACTAAGGTTTGGGGCTTGCACCCTCTGAAGCAACAGCCTGAGCAGTACGGTGGCCTTTTTACCCACAGCTGGGACACAGGGAGTCAAGTCCCAAGACTGCACAAAGCAGCAAGGCCCTGGGTCCAGCCAAGGAAACCAGTTTTCACTCCTAGTCCTCAGGGCCTGTGATAAGAGGGGCTGCCTTAAAGACCTCCTACATACCCTGGGGACATTTTCCCCATTGTCTTGGCAATTAACATTTGGCTCCTTGTTACTTATGCAAATTTCTGCAGGTGGCTTGAATTTCTCCTCAGGAAATAGGGTTTTCTTTTCTATCTCATTGTCAGGCTGCAAATTTTCCAAACTCTTATGCTCTTCTTCTCCTTTACGTATAGGTGCCAATTCCAAACCATATCCTTGTGCACACATAAAACTGACTGCTTTTTCCCAGCACTTTGGGAGGCTAAGGTGGGCAGATCACGAGGTCAGGAGATCGAGACCATCTGGCTAACATGGTGAAACCCCGTCTCTACTAAAAATACAAAAAAAATTAGGCAGGCATGGTGGCGGGCACCTATAGTCCCAGCTGCTTGGGAGGCTGAGGCAGGAGAATGGCATGAACCTGGGAGGCGGAGCTTGCAGTAAGCTGAGATCGTGCCACTGCACTCCAGCCTGGGTGACAGAATGAGACTCTGTCAAAAAAAAAAAAAAAAAAAAAAAAAAACTGACTGCTTTTAACAGCACCCAAGTCACATCTTTAACACTTTGCTGCTTAGAAATTTCTTCCACCAGATACCCTAAATCACCTCAAGTTCAACATTTCACAGATCTCTAAGGCAGGGGCAAAATGCCACCAGTCTCTTTGCTAAATCATAGCAAGAGTCACCTTTATTCCAGTTCCCAACAAGCTCCTCATCTCTATCTGAGACTGCCTCAGCCTAGACTTCATTGTCATATCACTCTCAGCATTTTGGTCAAAGCCATTCAACAAGTCTCTAGGAAGTTTCAAACTTTCCCACATCTTCCTGTCTTCTTCTGAGCCCTCCAAAATGTTCCAATCTCTGCCTCTTACCCAGTTCCAAAGTTGCTTCCACATTTTCGGGTATCTTTACAGCAGTACCCCACTACCAAATACCAATTTACTGTATTAGTCCATTCTCATGCTGCTAATAAAGACACACCCGAGACTGGGTAACTTGTAAAGGAAAGAGGCTTAATTGACTCACAGTTCAGCATGATATGGGAGGCCTCAGGAAACTTACAATTATGATGGAAGGAGAAGCAAACACGTCCTTCTTCACATGGAGTCAGGAAGGAGAAGAATGAGTACCCAGTGAAGGGGGATGTCTGTTATAAAACCATTAGATCTTGGGAGAACTAACTCACTATGATGAGAACAGGATGGGGGAAACTACCCCCATGATTCAATGATGTCCACCTGGGCCCTCCCATGACAAATGGTGATAATGGGAACTACCATTCAAGATTAGATTTCGGTGAGGACATAGCCAAACCATATCACAGGATTCTCCAGAAAAACAGAACCAACAGGATATGTGTGTGTGTGTGTGTGTGTGTGTGTGTGTGTGTGTGTGTGTATGTATGTGTGTGTGTGTGTTTATGATATAGATGTAGATATTCTCTCTATATATCTATATGTATAGATATATTTTCTAATAATTCTTAATAACACATAATATGTATATATATACATCTATATAGAGAGATTGATTTATTATGAGAAGTTAAATATACAACTCATATGAGAGATATTTATATACATATATATAATAGAGAAAGGTTGACTGTGTATATATATATATATATGTAATATATATATAGAGAGAGAGAGAGAGAGAGACATTTGAGAAATCAAATCATAATAATTGATATACTATGAGAATTAGGGCTTATATGATTATGGACACTAAGTAGTTCCTTGATTTGCTGTCTGAAAGCTGGAGAACCAGGCAAGCTGATGACAAATTCAGCCCGAGTCCAAAGGCCTGAGAATTAGCAGAACGTATATCTGAGGGCAGGAGAAGATGGACAGCCCAGCTGAAACAGAGACTGAATTTGCCCTTCTTCCTTCTTTCTGTTCTAGTGAGGCCCTCAAAGCATTGGTTGATGCTCACCCACATTGGGGAGGGAAATATTTTTATCTCAGCCTACTGATTTAAATGTTATTCTCTTTGGGGTACACCCTAACAGACATCACCAGAAATAAATTTTACCACTCTTCTGAACATTTTTTAAAATTAACCATCACAAATTCACCCCTTATCAACTTGGCACCCACACACATTTCCTTAAACCATACTTAATCTCCAAATACAGACAATAACAAGGTTAGAATTCTACCTAACATGAGTCAACCACCCTGTTTATAACACAAAATGCACTAATCCTTTCCACAGAAGAGTAGCTAAGGTCCACGAATAACATTAATTTTTCTCCTTATATCTCATAGCTTAAATGCTTTGATGTAAAATTAACAATATTTAAATACTAATATAAAATCAATATATCTTATGTTACATGATAAGATAATAAGAAAACAAAGATATTTGCTCAATATGTATACATATACACGAGAACATATTCATAACAAAATAAGGAGGAAATATAACAATTTCAATTTTTCTATAACTGGTCATGTGTCATAGCTGTTATTTATAACTACCTTCTTCTACTACTCCTTCTGTATTCCCTTTTTTCTTCAGGAAGCAGGTCAGCTGGTCATGATTCATTACTTGGCTGTATGACACAAATCTTAATTCCTGAAGAGTCTGGGCCATTTTTAGTCCTGTATGGATTGGGTTGTTACAGTTTTTCACTGACCTTAAAACGGAGCATGGTAATACTAAGAGACATCCTAAGATATCTCGTGTTTTCCTTCTGTTTCCTCTTCCTTTTCTTCACTGTAGAGTGGAAGTCCAATTTTCCTTTGGTAGTTTAAATCAATTATTTCACCCAACACCGAAACACCCTCCATGTTCTGTTGACTCAGAGGCAGGAAGAGCCCAAAGCATCCTTGTTGCCATTTAACCTTCACTTCAATGGAATCATTGTTGTGTCTCTTGGTGGAGGCATTTTTCCTCTGGAATAAAGACCTCTAGGCTAGCAGAGCATAAAGTCACAGAAACAGAATGCAAACATTTTGCTAGTGGGTTAACAGGAGTAATAGGGAGTAGGGCCACTCTCATTTCCACCTCTTGATTCCTAGACTGTTGAATCCTGGCTATCAGTGAAACAGCACCATGTTTCCTGTTTCATCAGATGCTGATTCAGAGCATATATGATCCTCTGCAGAATTTTATCCCATACTTGCAAGTGCCCCAGTTATCACCTAATGAACACAATAACGTAGTCTTAAAAACGCCATATCACGATCCAATCAAGCCAACTGCTTAAGGATGGTAGGGAGCATGGTAAAACCAGTGAACTTCATGATCATGAGCCCATTTCTACACTTCTTTGGCCATGAAGTGAGTTCCTTGATAGGATGCAATGAGATACAGAATACCATGATGGTGGATAAGGTATTCTGTAAGTCCATGAAAGGTAATTTTGGCAGAAGCGTTGTACGTAGAGAGGGCAAATCCATATCCAGAGCATCTACTCCATTAAAAACAAAACACTGTCCCTTCCATGTTGAAAGCTGTTCTGTATATTTGACCTGCCATCAAGCAGCTGGCTGCCAATCCCAGGGAATGATGCCATATTGGGGGTTCAGTGCTGGTTTTGGCTGCTGATAGATTGGGAATGGAGAGGAGTCAATACAGGTTGCCATTGGTGAGTAGAAGTCTCACAGTGTCTGTTAGAATTACCATGCCTTCCCTGAGGGGAAGTGCATGATCCTGAGTGAGCCCATGCATAACTGATACCCTTGCCATCATGGCTACTTTGTTCATGGGCCCATAGGGTGACAATAGGGTGGTGTGGAAAGAGGTTGAGTGGGATCTCCAGAACATATCATTCTTACCACTTGATTATTAAATTTTTCCTCTTGAGGTAATTGGTGAGAATTCACATGGGACACAAATATCTTCCCCATTCAAAAATAATCTGTCCATATACCCCATCCCCAGATTTCTTTGTCCCAAGTTTTCTGATCCTTTTCCTTCCAAGTCCTTGACTATACAGGCAAACAATTTGTATAGCCCATGAATTGGTATGTAGTCATATCTCTGGCCATTTCTTCTTTAAAGCAACCTGCACAATCAGCTGCACAACCTGATGTACTACTACACCGAGAGGATTTCTCTTCAACAATGTTCTGCAAAGATGTCCCAGAGAGGGGCTGTGGCTGCTGCAGCTGTCCACTTTCAGATACTGCTCACATGTCATGCAGCACCATCCATAAACCAGGCCTGAGTCTTCTCTTCCTCTGTTAACTGATTTTAGAGAGTTCCCCATGAGGCCACAGGTGTAGGCTAGGGAGAAAAGGCAGTTTAGCAGGAATGGAGACTGTGGGCATTTGGGCACCTTTTTCATCTGCCTTGTGTCTTCAGGGTCTGTGTGGGCCCTGTGGAGCAGGTTCTCTGTGCACTGGCTACCAAACTGTTAGAGTCCAGTGAGACAGGAAGATTAATTGTGTACAGATTGGCAGCAAGGGATGAAAGAAATCTAGGATCCATTTTGAGTAAGAAAGCTGCCTGGGACAGATGGAGTCTTTACTGCACTGAGCCACCTGTACCACAGTTGAAGGGCCCTGAAAGGCAGCCACCCTAGGTTATAAACTCCAGGGGCCATGTGGATCACTGGGAAAAGCTTAGAAGGACATCCTTCTTTCCAGGTGAGACAGGAACAAAGACTGTGCTGTCTTGGACAGTTCCTCCATAACTCAAGATGTCTCACTCCCAGAAGGGACAAAAACAAGGCCCAGGATGTTTTAGGCAGTTCCTCCTATCTCAGGATACTGCATTCTCAATACGTTCTATACTTATTCTTAAGAACTAAGAGCAAGAATGTAGGAAGAACTAGATTGGTCCAAGACCATCTGGATAATTTTCCATAGGCCTAATCATGTATATGTCATTCAATTTTCCAGTAGAGTATTGCTGTGTATGCCCAACTTCATCATTTGGTGGGTGAGATAACACCCAGTTCACAATGGACAGTTCAGGTCACAAAGTAACTTGGCGGCCTATTGCGAAGCATTCAGGTTCTACTGAAACCTAGTAACAAACCAAGAGCTGTTCCCAAAAATAAAGTAGTTACCTGTGGATGATGGTAGAGCCCTGTTTCACAATCCAAAAGACCTGTATTACAATTATATACTAAAAGCATCAGAATATAGATTCAGTATCGAAAGGCACAGAACAGAATTTACACAAAGATGGTGTCCTGACAGAAGCATGGTGTCAGGTCAGATGAATACCAGAGTGATGAAATAGACAAAATCAAGAAATAAGTTACATCCAATAAATAGAGCAAATATATCACTAGGTTTATGGTAACAAAATATCACAGACTGGGTGTTTTAAAACAAACAAACAAAAATTACTTCTCAAAGTTTTGGAGACTCAAAGTCCAAGATTCAGATGTCAGCAGATTTGGTTTCTCCTGAGGTTTCTCTCCCTAGCTTGCTGATGGCTGTTTTCTCACTGTGTCCTCACATAACATTTTTTTTTCTGTGCTCAAAATCCCTGATGTCTCTTTCCCTTCTTATAAAGACATCAGTCACATTTAATTAGGCCCCATGCTTCAAATCTCATTTAACTTTATTTCTTAAAGACTCTGTCTCCAAATATAGTCATATTAGGGGTTATGACTTCAACGTATACATTTTGGAGGAAGACAATGTAGTTTGTATTGATAGGTTACAGTGGAGAGTACAGTAGTGAAGTCAATTCTAAAACATTTTCTACTAGGTGGCTGAATGATCTTAGATACTTTCCATACTTCATATCAATGTCCTCAATTGCAAAATTAGAGGCTTGAACCAGATAATTTGTCAACTCTCTTCACTTGCCAGGTTCCTTAGTCTGTTTGTGCTGCCATAACAGAATATTAAATACTGGGTAATTTATTAAGATTTATTCTCTCGCAGTTCTGGAGGCTGGCAAGATCAAGACACCAGCATCTGTTGTGGGCCTTCTTACTGTGTCCTCACGTGGCAGAAGGCGAAGGACAAAAGAGGACAAGTACTGAGTCCCCACATGACAGAAAAGCAAAAGAGAGAGAAGGCACTCTCACCAACCCTGTTCATAGCAGCATGAATCCATGCAGGAGGTCAGAACCCTCATAACCTAAGTTCATCCCATTAGCCCCCATCCTCTAACACTGTTCCTTTGGGGATTAAGTTTCCAACACATAAATGTAGGGGGACAAACTCAGATCATATCAGTAGGATTAATTGAAGTCAGTATAAGTTGAAGAATTAGAGTTTAAGCTTTTCTTTCTTTCCTTCCCTCCCTCCCTCCTTCCTTTTTTCCTTCCTTCCTTCCTTTCTTCCTTCCTTCTTTTCCTTCCTTCCTTCCTTCCTTCCTTCCTTCCTTCCTTCCTTCCTTCCTTCCTTCCTCCCTTCCTTCCCTCTTTGCTGCAGTTCTCCCTATGGTAAATGCTCAAACTTGTATAGGACTAATAACATTTTTCTTTAATTATGGACTATTATTGAGATTTTTACCTCAATGGAGAGAGTGAGTATCTAATGCCAGCAGGTTCGTGTTGACATAATAACTATGTAGTAAGCATCACCATTTAAATTAGTTGGTCATGATATTTTGTCATTGTTTAAAAATTCCACAAAAAATTTTAGATTTCACGATAGCATTACAATAAATTGTTAGAACATAAACATCTGCTGGTGCAATTGGCAATACACACAAAGTTATGTTATGTGTTTAAGATCAGGGAATTATGTTAATAAGGCAACAATCATTCAAAGAAATAGTCTCAGGACATTGAGAAATCTGAAATAATAAAATATGAATTAATCAATGAGGTGCATATTTTGATATTCATAATGAAATAATTCTTCACTTTGGAAAATAATTCAGACTCATTTATAGTGTAAATTCCCTAATGTGATGTAATGTTTTCAGGAGGTTTATATCCACATAGTCTATTATGAACATGACTGTTTCATAAAGTGAAACACATTTCTACTATTACACATTGCCCTGTGAGGACTTGACATAATTGTTTTTTCTCTAAGTCACTTTTAAATATAAATAACCACTAAATAATTTAACTATTTTATTGATTTTAAAAATCAGAGGTTACTCAATGCACTTATTTTGGTAATAAGAGTGTTGATAAAGTAAGCCATTATAATGTTAATGACTACAGTATTTTCATAGGAGACATAAATTGATTTTATGTCTTCTTTTTTATTGGTATAATATGAATTTAGATCTTTAAAATGTTAATATAGCACCTGATATAAGTGATCATTTTTTATATAAATATTTCTATGCATTTCATTTTAAAAATTGCCTTGTATTATTTCTTCTTACTTACCTGACCCTTTGTGGTTATAGTTGAAAAGTATCTGATTTACTTCAAAAACTACAAATATGATTGCACAGATGGATGTTTTACTTCCATAAGTTTTATAATTAAACAAGTCTTTTCCAATTACATTGTTGAGAGATTAGCATAAATATTGTTAAATTCTTTTCTAAATCTTAATCACTATTCATCTGGCCAATACACATATGGCATATAGGAAAATTTGCATCACAAATATAGTGAATAGCTGATGAAGACTAATTGTAAAAGTTGGTAACTATAAATCTCAAGACAATTTTGTTTTTGGTTTGCTTTCTGTAAATTTTATTTTTCTATATCTTTTGTAAGCCGATGCCACTATTCTGAAGTATCAAAATGCTTCAAGTTGATGCCACTATTCTGAAATAGCAAAATGCTTCTGTCTTATTTTAGGAATTTTGTGATATTAATTATTTCATATGCTTACGTTGCAGACCAGTTTTATAGTCATTTTACTTCCTGTTATTGCTAAACATAATGGTAAATAGGCTTTGGAACTACATCAAGAAAATCTGGCTTTTAATTCCAGCTCCATGCTAATAACTTATGCTGTATCTTTGGGCAAGTTATACATCTGTTTGCCTTTTGTTCCCTCTCTGAAGCATTTCTTAACTAGCAGTAAATAGACATGAAACCACACACAGATGACATAACTATTATTTGAGGTTTATCCTTCTGAATGTTTTCTTAAGGACAGACAGGTAATGTACATGCATATTTGGTTCTGCCGCCACATAGAGCCACAAATACACACATAAGATAATTTTTTTTAAGTATCATAATAGAGTTGCCATTTTGTAATCTGTTTTCTATGTAAAAGACTATCATTGAAAAATAATATTTTTGGAATTATTAAATATAAACAATAACGACTATTATTAGACATTTTAAGATATTGAAAATTTGGCATTTTTAATCATATTTTTTGTCTAATTTTATTAGAATTTTTTAAATATTTTCCTTATTTATGTTATGGTTATTAATGCTGCTGTGGCATATAAATTTTCAGATTTTTGTTTTCTGGCACTATATTGCCTTTTAATCAATGTCCTTTTTTGAAATATGCATGGTTTATTAAATTACTCACATATATTTTAGCCAAATCTATGCACATTTTCTTCAAATTTTCTGATGTTGGGTTACTGCATACAATACACTTATTTTAAAATAATATACAAAATAACCTTTAAATATTTCCTATTTTTCATTAATGATTTGGTGTTTTGCCTTGTTTGGTGTAAAAATTTAGGACTAGACTTGCTACGTTAAGTAATACTCAGTGATATAAAATTTTTTATGTGTAGTGTAAAGATTATAACAATTTAAATTTTTAGATGGGGTACAAAAAAAATGAGATACAATCTCTCTACTGTAGAGCAAGAGGCAATTTTTTGTCTCAAATTTTTAAAACATTTAGAATTAAAATAAATTCAGTAATAATGTGATATCATTAATGTACGTGATGCAATTAAATACTTTGTGATGTTCTATTATCACCTTACTGTATTTTATTATGTTCCTTTCCCCAACCTCTACTTATACAAGAATAAGTAAATCTTAGTAAGCATTTTCCTTTGGCATGCCTTAAAAGGGATTCATTGAATCCCTGTATAAAAATATGTAAAAAGTATGAACTGTTGTAATCTGGAATTACAGAGGTGTGTTTTGTTTTGTTGGTTTGTTGGTATTAGTTCAAAGCATTTATTAGGGGAAGTTACATAGAGGAAGGACTTTAGCATCCTTGTGATGCTTACTTCATTCAGAATCATACTAGATTGTACCACCTAATGCACTAGGACTGTCAAATTGCCTGTCCTCCTACAGAAAAGTTCATGAGGGATGAGCTAGAGTAGTGCCAACAGAAAAGCCTTCTAATGCTAGCTTTTTGCTCTCAGATTTCAATGCATGAGTTCAAAGCTCAGCTGGGACAGTAATTAACATAACTAAGGATACATTTTAGAAACTCTTTTGGTATAAATTTACTCACTGGTAACTGGGAAAATAACATTTAGTCCTTCACTGGGTTAGTGTGAAGCCAAAGCACTATACCTATCTATTGATATCCGTAAGTAATATATATAGAATCATTTTTATACTTTTTAATTTTTGAAATGGTAAGTCATCTTTCTTTTCTCTCTTTTCACACAAGCCCTCCCCCCAAAAATTTAATTACGATGTGTCTCAGAGCAAATTTCATTTAATTAATTGTTTTTAAACTTCATTCAGAATCTTTGAAAAGACAAGGTTTCCCTTTTTCTCCTGTCTCTTTTCTTCTTTCAGTATTAAAGCTTCACTGTTTTTCCTGTTTTCTATTTTCTGACTGCCAATTTGGTGTATGTTATGAAGACAATTTTATTGTGTCCTCAATGCCTCTTAATTTGTCCTATTTTTCTTCAATCTCTTTTCTGTCATTTTTTTTGTGCTATATTTTGTGCTATATTTTTTGTGCTATATAATATAAATCTACTACTAATATAAACTATTATATTCTAATTTTTGTAGTTATTACTTATTTTCCCTCTGTATTAATTCTTTGTTGGCTACTTTGTGGTTCAAACTATCATTTGAGATTTTAATTTATCTCTCTTTCTCATATCACTATGTAATCTCTCTATACCTATATCATTCTATATATATAATTCTACCTATTTATCACTATTATCTATCTATCTTACATTTTTTGAAGTATCATAATAGGCAGCCAGGCTCATTTCTTTTTTCCTAACAATGTTTCACAGTATAATGCTTATGGCTCTTATTTTCAATTCTGTATTTCAACTTTAATAGTCATTTAATAATAGTCACATTGTATTATGTTGGATAAATTCCATATCTGAATTTCTGAGAGGCCTAATTTATGAAATTACTCATTTATCTTTATTTCTTATATTTAACCATTTTTAAATGTTGAACTTACATTTGTTTGGCCTTAATTTGTAACTTGCTTCTTCCACGTACTTCCAGGATGTTTCCCACTGGAAATCAATTTAACTTAAGTAATTGGTTTGAGATTGTCCCCAGTCAATAGGCAGTGTGAATCTAAACCAAGTGTCCATAAGTGTACAGTTAACATTACAAATTCTTACCGAAGACAGTTTTCAACTTTGAGCTAAGACTCTGACAGGTATATTTCCTATCATTTTACTGTGAGTGTATCTCTTTAAGCCCCCTGCACTGCCCCTTCATAATATGTCTTTAGTTTCTCCTAACTTATGGGAACACAATCTTGTTTCTCATACTTTAGGCTGCTGTAAACTCTAGTATTGTCAATCCCCTTCTGGTAATGACCAGTTTTAGCTCATGCATATGACCTTCATTTTGTTCTTTCCTTGTTTTTGTCTTTGAAAATTCATTTTTGTAAGCTTAGATTAGCAATACATTTAATACATTATGTGTTGCATTTTGTTCAGCACGTTAAATGTTTTTAAGAAAAATGTTCTTTTAGAATTTATAAATTACTGTAATGCCAAAGCAGAACTTCTTTTTCCTTTAATTACTTTCCCCTGTCTAAATTCCCAATAAATGACTTTTTAAAAATTAATCATCAGTTTGGAATAATGCATGGATGGATGGATGGATGGATGGACGGATGGATGATGGATCGATAGATGGATCATATATTGCTCATCAGATAACTTTCTCTGAATAAAATAATTTAATTGTATATAATGTTAACTGTATGTCCATTATGTTAAATATAAAATTATATATACTATAAGTTTAATGTATATTATATGTGTAGTTATATATGGCATATATGTGTATTTATATTATGACATCAGGTATTAGAGTTATTCATTGATAATCACAATTTTGCTGCCAAAATAATGCTGCCTAACATTATTAAAATATATTAATTTATTGTTACAACCATGGTAAGACTATTGCTACGTTATTGCAGGAAAGAAAATGAATTTGAAATAAAATTCTCAATTTGACCAATTATATTATTTTGTGTCATTTAAGTTTTATTGTAAAACCTGACCAAGAAACAGAGTGCCCTGACCACTCTGTAACCTGGACAGCAGCATATTTCCCCCTGCAGACTTGAACCCAAGATGGGGTCTTAAACATTTCCAGGCACTGATAAAGCTTTTGAGATTGTTGCTTGAAGCTCATAGAAATTATCCATGACCCCTGAGCCAAATTCCTGCAACCCTCATATAACCTAGCTAGCCCATTAGGGACATACCTGGATGGAACATCTCTTTTCTCACTCTTCATCACAAGGAGGCTAAAGACCCCTGTCTATCTAAGTTCCCCTAATATATGCTTTGGACTGAATAAAAACAAAAAAAAATAAAAAAGTTCTGTAATTCCAGGTGACAAGAGTTTTTTATGCAGGGATTCAATAAACTTTAAAAATTGACCTGTATTAGTTTTTATTGGTATAATTATTACACATGAAGGCAACTGAAGAATTGTTATCCCTAAACTTAGAGTAAGGAATTGAAAGTACGTAAATCCTAAACAGGAGAATTAGGACTCAACCTATGTCTTCTTACTTCCTTCCAGCATTATTTCAGTTCTAATTTCTCTATTTAATATGACTGAATTATAAAGGGCCCTATTCTTAATAGATCCATACTGATGTTTTTGCATTATGTATAGTGGTCAAGTAGCCATTAAACCAGAGAGTGTGGGTGTTTTCAATAGAAAGGACTTCCTTTCACTTTAACAATACAGCCTTATTCAAGGAACTGTGACATTTTTCTGATAAGGAATATTTCATCAAAACAGTAATGCTCTCTGTTTCAATGTACTTTGCTTGAGAAGGTTTTGTCCACAGTTTATCTATTCTACAGACATGTAGGTCTTATAAAAATAAATTATTTCAACATTAAGGTTTCTGAGTGCTTAATATTTCTTTTGTCCTCTTTAACTATGTCAGTTGTCTCAATAATTAAGTGTAAAAGACTTATTGAAAATTTGGCTTCAGTTTTCTTTATTTCAAGCCTTGTAAAATTCCTGTAAGGGTATTTCAGGCAGCTGGTCATAGTTTAACAATCTTTGACACTGAGATAGCAACAAAATCTCCTAGGAAAAAACTTCACAAAAGAATATCCATCCTATTTAAGACAGAAACCAATGGAAATAAGCCAAATTCTAAAATTTAACCCTCCAGTGGACACAGACATCAGCCCTCACCCTAGCTATCCCCATAACTACTAGCCTGCAACATCCAGATATTTAAAAAAAAACTGCTAAGAACATGTACACTATTGAACACAGTCTGATTACTAAGATTGGAAAATTTAAGCAGCAAACTTGGTATCAGCACTAGTAGCAGTGTATTTCTTTTTTGTTTTCCCAGTTCATTATTGTAGTGTATTTCATATTCTCACTGTCCTGATCTGATTAGGTCATCTGGTGTCAGGTTGAATAGAAGTAAGGAGGGAAGACACCATTTTCTTTTTAAAAAATCTCAAGTGAAGCTTTCCTTGTTCCATCAACTAAGATGTTTACATTTTTTTTGAACCTTCTTCACTCAAGAAATTAAAACATGAACCTCTGACTTAATAAAGTTTTTTTGTCTTATCTTGACCTTCCTTTTCAAAAGAGCAAGTAATTTAAAAGACTTTAACTCCATTTCTACCCTTCCAATTTATAGTCATGTCAGATGTTTTAATTCAATATATTTGTATTTTAAATCCCCTAAAACGTTTCTGTTTGACACCATGAATATTCATTTATATTAACCTACATATTTACTTGATTTTCAAACCTGCTCATGTATTTATTCAATCTTCATAACTTGTTGCAATTCAAGGTCCTATCTAGAATTACTTTACTTTTATTAGTGTAACAGGCTTGACATTTCTTGCATTATTTATCTTTTGGTAGTGATTATAATTTGGTGGTTCATCTAAAAAATCTTTATAAGTTCTAATTCTTGAAAGAAATTTTTTATTACTAGATGGAGATGTTTAAAGAAAAACTTCAGCCTAATTAAATTTAAAGTTTAATTAAGCAATGAACGATTTACGAATTGTGCAGCCCCCAGAATCACAGCAGATTCAGAGAGACTCCAGCAAAGCCATGTGGTGGAAGACTTCTAGACAAAGAAAAAAAAGAGAGAGAGAGAAGCGAGTACAGAAATCAGAAGTGAGATATAGAAACAACTGGATTGGTTACAGCTCAGTGTGTGCCTTATTTGAACACAGTTCAAACAGTTGGCTACATTTCACTGGCCAAAACTCAGTGATTGGCACAGGTGCAGGCTAGGGTCAGTTTACACTTCCACTTGTTATATTTCACAATGTACAGAAAAACCTTCAGGCTGAACTTAAATATGTAAAGAGGCAGCTTTGGGCTAAACTTGTCTTGGAATACAAGTTACTGTCTTGTCTTTCCATACATGGAACTAACTGACATAGAGCTTTTTTTTTCTGCTTCTACTGAAAACTCAGTTATCAGAATATTACCTCATTGGAGCTGATCTAGCTTTCCTCCTACCCTAACCCAGACTTTTAAAACGATGTATCTGTCTTTGATTTTCTGCAGTGTTATTATAAATGATTTGGGTATCATTTACTTTTATTCATAAAATTTGAGCTCTTCTTAAATTGGTTGATTATCCCAAGACTTGGTAGGAGAAAATAAAATTCTCTCCAAAACAAATGTACCGATAAAAAAGAGAAAAGTTTAGGTTTTCCAAGCAATAGCTGATAAACTATAATAATGTATCATACAGACAGCACCTGATAATTTTTTAACTAAAATTTTGAGGGTATATTTCTGTCTTTAACTTGTTCTGCTCATTATGACTTACATAGTTTTATCTTCTTATTTGCTGTTTGTCTTAGATTATGCTCACCATGTTGTATTAAAATAATTACTTATGTAAGTAATTTGATACCTAAGATGTCATTTTCTTACTCCACAGATTTTCCTTTTCTCCTACTAGACACTGTGGATGTTAGCAGTCCAGAATCAAGGGCCATTGTTTCTAGGTGCTCTAGAGGACGTGCTGAGAAAAAGTCAACACTATTATGTCTAGTGCTGTTGTGTTCTGCATCTGGAGCTGGGTGGGTTTCATCAGGGACTGAATGGCTGGCAATCACTGGAATTCAACCTTAATTCATTAAGCTCTTCAAGTTCGCTGCATGTGGAGCTCTTTATTTACGTTTATAAGAATAAAATTATTTAAAGAGATTTAGCTCATGTGGGTCTAGCCCAGAAGAGAGATGATTAGCCAGGGTTTCCAAGTATGGCTGACACCGAATTTCAGTTCCTGTTTTACCATCTCCAAATTAGTCCATTACAGCTTAGTTCAGTCTCTCAGATACCTACACCAGATCACCAAATACATCACGGTGGAAACAATTCAGAGTCACCTGCCTTCTGTTGTTTCCTCAGTTTTTCTAGATTATTCCTCACTTTGATTTTTTAAAATATTGTTTTGATCTTTCTGTTTTTCCTTCAGCAGAACAATCAATCCAAATGAATTAAACTACTATTAACGTAGCTTAAAAGTTTCATATATTATTATTATTTCCATTTCAATTGAGACGATCAAATGTTTCTCTTTGCAGAAATAATGTGGTAAATTAATCGATATTTCTAATATTAAATCAACCTCACATTCCTGTAATAAATCTAACTTTTTTGTTTGTATTTTCACACACACACACATACTTATATCTACTTGATTTGCTAACGTTTTATATAAAATATTTTTATTTATGGTCTTCAGGGAAATTGTTTTTAAGTTTTCAATTACTACTGTGCCTCTGTTAGGTTTTATTATAACAGTTATACTGGCTTCATTTTAATTTGTAGGGTATTTCTTCTTTATTTAAGTTACCCATAAAAATTTAGTTCAAACAATTTTTTCGGTTTAATATAAATCTTTGGCATATGTGTCATCAACAAATTAATTAGTTAGCTCTGCTTGATAGCCTAAGCCATGAGAAACTATAAATCATGCTGAGAAGCACGGTACATTAGTTTTAAGAAAGAATATAGTGAGGCTTTTGCGACTCCCAAGCATAAATAGTGATATCTTTAATCACACTTCACAGGAATGTGCTTTTTTACAGTAATCAGTGCTGACTGGGAACCACCTCAACTCAGAAAGAAACTTTCATTTCTGCATTCTTTCCACTTTCACTCTTCGATAAGCATGTAACACTCTTTGAAGTGTCAGACTAGTTTCATTCCTTTGCTGCATTTTAACAAGTATAGATAAGTAAAAAAACATTTCAACAGCACAGACAAGATGTTTGACAGATACATCCTTTGAACAGCATTCACTAAACAATCTCATCAAGAACATTAGTCTATATCTAGTACAATCTTATGTATTCCACACTGAGGGAGAATTAGAGATTACATTTCAGTTCTTAACATTTTCCTTTCTTGATGAAGCCATCTGGAACTAGGCTTTTCCTTCTGGGAAGAATTTTGAGAACTAATTCTATAACCTTGTTATTGGTTATAGGTCAAGTTTTTTATTTCTCCTTATTCTACTTTAACTTTATTCACTTTAATTGTTAATATTACTGCTACTGTTTCTATTTTTAGTAGATTATTTGTGCTAAATACTCTGAACAACATGTAAAGCATGAAAATTTATATGAAATTGAGAGTATGTCTAATTTATAAAGGTTTAATATCAATTATCTCCTCAATATAACTTTAAAATATAATAATTACCAGTAACAAACATGTAGAAGATAAAAACATAATATTTAAAATTGGCACCCCAAAAATGAAATATTAGATATAAATCTAACAAAATTTTTACAGACTCTATATGAAGAAAAACCACAAGATTCAGATTAAAAAAATCAAATAACTAAATTATCCATGTTTATGGATAGAAAGATAATATTGTCAACATATCAGTTCTTTGCAATTGATCTATGGACTCAATGAAATCCCATTTAAAATTCTAGCAAGTTATTTTATGGATATCATTAAAGTTTCTAAAGATTCTAAAGTTTATACGGAGAGGCAAAAGATCCAAAACAGCAAAATGTTGAAGGAGAATAACAAAGTCAGAGGACTGACACTGCTCAATCTCAAGTCTTGCTATAAAGCTACAGTAATATAGTGTGCCATTGGCAAAGAATTAAAAAAAACAGATCAATAGATCAGAATAGAGAGCTCAGAAATAGGTCCACATAAATATAGTCCACTTGTCTTTGAAAAAAGAGCAAAGGCAATAGAAAGAAGCAACAATAATTTTTTCAACGAGTGGTGCTGGAACAACTGGACATCTACATACAAAAATATAAACGTAGATAGATCTTACACCCCTCAGAAAAGTTACATAAAACTGGATTACAGACCTAACGAAAATGCAAAACTACAAAACTTCTAGAAGATAACCCAGGAAAAAACCTAAATGATCTTGGGTATAATGATGACTTTGTAGAAACAATACTAAAGATGGAATACATGAAAAAAAACTTGATAAACTGGACTTTATTAAAATTAAAATGTAAAAATGGTAATTCAAACTTGAACAATCGAGTTAATTTCTATTAAATAACTGATATTTTGATATAATGTATAGTATGTAAATTATTCTTATATTGGTATTGAGTCTATCAGTTTTATTTATGTTGAATTTGATATTGGATATGCTCTTGTTCTTGTGCTTGCCCTTTTGCTTGTTCTCTCTCTCTGTCTTGTTCTTTTCTCTCTCTTTTTTTTCTCTCTAATAGGCTACATGAATTTTTTCAGCTATAAAAGGCAGTAGTTACTTATGTAGTAATATCTACTCTATTTTCACCCTTTCCTTTATTAACAGCATAAAGCATAGCTAGTTTTCTCATGCATATTTGTCCATGTAAAAATAAAGTATCTCCATAAAAAGTAATTTCATCTATTTAATTTATCTGTTTAATTCGGAGCACAAGGTGATGGATACAAGAATGGCAACTCTCATACTCTCATATTTTTTTTCTTTAGTATCATCTATTTGAGATTGGTTCTGAGTAGAAAACAAAACTATGTAGGTTTCATTTGCAAAAAAATGTTCAAACTCACAAGGAATGTAAACCAATATGAGGAATTATATTACAACCGAAGTATATTATAAAAAGAGTACCAACAAAGAAACGTAGGACTTCAGAAGAGTTTATTTCTGTTGGTAAAAATCAGAAGAATTGGCTGTATAAGACTGAAAGATGGGATATTATTTCAGTGGAAATGTATGCAGTTGATTAATGTCCTGGCACAGTAACAAAAGTGAGGAAAGGCTGAATAATGCAACAGTATAAGTGATGTGCAAGAAATGATATGCCATTTGAAAGTGTAGTTGGGGAAAAAGACACAGGATGGTAGAGATTAACCTGTTTAGATTTGACTTAGTAGACTGCAGAGTTGACTACTTGTGATCAAGTGAGTAAAGCATTCATTTATTTCATCTAAAAAAGTTTATCTGGGTAAGAAAGATGGAAAGAGAAACAAGACAACGAGAGGCAACTAGTTAAGAGGCTATGCAATAGCTCAAGGATGAGCTAGTATACATTTCAACCACATTTATATTAACTTGAAAAATCTTGTGTGTAGCACTGACAAAACAAATGTTTTGAAAGCTAGTAGACTAAATTTAGAATGCAGTCGCTCTGAGTTATTTTCTGTTTTAAAGTAGAGGTCAAACACAGTAGCAGATAAACAGAACACAGCCTGCAGTTGTTTTGTTTGGTTTGCATACCGCTACAAAATTGAATATTCCAAAATAAAGATGGTCTTTCTTGTTCATTAACCCACCAACTTTCTATTGCTCTATTTGTGCACAGCTTGTGTATTTATTTACTCAGTGAGGTTTACTCTGATTAATTAAAAGTGGAACCATTCTCAACTATGTCCTGTGAACCCCTTATAACTTGCTCTACATTTTATTGTACTATGTTATTATAACTTTTTCTATATTTTAATAATTATTGTATCAGAAGAAATTAAAAGTATTTTATTGAGCTCTAGGTATATCTTGTTCAATTTTAATTTATTTTTCTTAGCACTTATCACATAATAAATACGATAGTATGATTATAAAAAATTGTATTGCCTGTATTCTCTTTCCCCAACATATCCCTAGGAGAAAAATTTCACAACGGGAAGACTCTTTGCTTTGGTCACTGGTATATAGTACTCAGAATTTTGCCTGCCACTGAAGAACTCTGACAAACATTCATTGAATATGGCTCATATAATAATAACAGCTAATATTAATATGGTGTTTATTATTTTCCATGTATAATTTAATAATATTATATATAGGCTTATACCATATGAGTCAAAACCCTGTGATGTCAGTACTAATAGTGACCTCACAGTTATTATTTATAGGGCTGGGCTCAAAGTCTATTAAATTTCTTACCGCTGATTAAAATGTTTATTTCTCACCTCTGATTAAAATGTTTATCATATTTGCTGTTTCAAATTTGAGACAAAATATTAGAAAAGTGAATGGCATTTTTCATGCTACACAAGACATTTCAGGATTTAGTAGACTTGCTATCTTCTTGCAAACAAACTTACTGTCAAATATTAAGTGTAATGGGTGGATAGAGGTGGTACCTTGTATTTTCTCTCATCTTATTTTGGCAAGACATAATATTTCCACTGTTAATTCACATTAACTATTTTTAACTACTTATAAATTATACCAAATACGGATAGGTAGTAAGAGAAATGAAATCATTTCCCTGTTTCTTAGCAACATATTATATACATTACATACAGGAAAAAAATTAAACACGTATTCTCAATTTTCAATTTGTATGGGGATGTTTTGTCTCCATTAAATTTCCATTTAAAGAGTATACAGAGATACAAGTAGGATTATTTAGCATTCATTTTTTGTTTGAGGGACTTTTGGCTGTATATTTATTCAGGAGGGAATTAGGTCAATGCACGTGCCCTAGGCTATATTTTGGCTGTGTATTCATCAGAGTAGCAGAGGTGCAAATTTTTTTTTTATTTTATATTTTGCAGAAGTTCGCGTGAAACTATCTAAGATCTTTACAGTCTACTGGTACTGCAAATGACTCTAGAGAAATCCAAGGCCAATCTGATTTTTTTTTCAATTGCTTGGATGAACAATGGGTTTGTTATCAAGATGAGGACATACGGAATTTAAAAAACATAATTTATATTAATTTTAGACATTTATGTACTAAAACTTTTCCATGAAATTTTGATATATTGTTATCATGCTACTTATAAATTACTTAGATTTGTTTTACCTAAGAAGAGGTGCAAATATTTTTTCATTATTTTCAAAGTTCCATAAAAAGTAATAAGATTTGTTTCTGTTTTTACAATTATGGATCAATTATTTTTGATATAAGATGCTATCTTTCAATTTATAAACTCATATTTTATTTTCATCTTTCTTGTGCCTTATCTACTCTGTGTTCTTGCATGTCTACTTTATAATCTTCCTTTATTAAAGTGCTTTATTCTTCCTTTTAAATTTCTTCTATAATATTTAGTTACAATTCTCTTTTGCCAAAAGAACATTAAGTGAAGAGTTTTTTAAAATGTTATCTTTCTTTTAACCTCTTTTAATATTATAGTGTATGTTTCTCAGGTGGTCTAATTCTTGTTAATAATAAGTTATTATTTTATGATGATTCCTCAAGAATGTAAACACAGAATTATGTATAATCCATCAATTCCTCTTCTGGGTATATACTCAAAAGGATTGAAAGCAGAAAATCAAAGAGATATTTGTACAGAAATATTCATAGCAGCATTATTCACACTAGCCAAAAGGTAGAAACAACCATAATGTTAGTTGAAAGATAAATGGAAACAAAACCTGGTACACACATAAAATGAAATATTATTCTGCCTTTAAAACAAAGAAAATTCTGCTATGTCACAACATGAATGAATCTTGAAGAAATTGTGTTTAGTAAAATAAGTCAGACACAAAATGACAAATATTATTATGATTCCATTTATATAAGCAACCTAGAGTAGTCAAATTCGTAGAGAAAGAACTTGCAGAGATGGGGATATGGGACATTTTTGTTTAATGAGAATAGAGTTTCAATTGGAAAGATAAAAATGTTCTGGAGATGGATAATGATAATAGTTGCACAACAATGTAAGTGTATGTAATGCTACAAAACTGTACTCTTAAACATGATTAAAACGGCAAATTTTAAGTTTCATACATTTTATCACAGTAAAATAATTATTTATTATTAAATAACTGATATCCTGGACAAGATATTTCTCAATGAAAAAGTGATGATGGAGAAGACTACCGAGTTTTCCAGGGTAATTGATTTACCTTAATTAATTTGTATTCTAGAACAGTTTCACATTTGTAGAAATTCTTGCAAAGCTAGTTCAATGAGGTCTCATATACCCCATTCCGGTTTCCCCTCTTATTAACGTTTTATATTAGCACGATACATTCACTATGCTGTTGATACATTGTGATGAACCAAAGTACATGCTTTTCTTAAATTTCCTCAGTTTTACCTAATGGTAATTCTCTGCCCAGTATTCTTTCAAGGATATCAAATTACATTTAAGTCATCATGTTTCCTTAGACATTTCTAGACCGTGGCAATTTCTCATATTTTCCTTGTTTTATGTGACTTGAGAGTTTTGACGAACACTGGTTAGATATTTTGTAGACTGTTCATCAATTAAGGTTCCTCTGATATTTTTCTCAATATTAGATTGGGATTAGGAGTTCTTGGGTGGAAGACCACACAGGTAAAATGCCATTCTGATTACACCATAATAAGGTGCATGCTATCAGGATGACATCACTGATGATGTTAACCTTGGTCAACTGGCTGAAATGGTGTTTGTCAGGCTTCTTCACTGTGTAGTTATTTTCTTGAAGCTCCACTTTTCTACAGTACTCCTTGAAAGAGACTGGGACACAATTATGGGGTAGAAAATTATGGTCCACATATTTAAGGGTGGCGTATGTAAGTACATTTCTTGAAATTCATCTTGTGTAACTGTAATTTTGTACCCTTTGACCAACATCTTCCCATGTCCTCTTTCCCTGCACTACTAGTAATACTTTTTAATATTTTAAATTTTTATATAATTGTCTATATTCCATCCTGAGATCCTTCAAGGATATTTTGAGTCAATATTTTAAAATATTTCTTACATTTTAAATTTATTTTTCCCTATTCTACCAGTTATCAATCCAATCATTTGTGTATTTTTAGCTCATTCTTTTAGCAGTATTGGTAAACTTGCTTAATTTATTATTTTTAAGTCCCTCTTCAAATTTCCGCAATTAGTTCGATTATTAGTTCAAACTATTTTTCTGTCTTGTTTGTTTCTTATTAAGGTACCTACAACCGTCATGTTGTTGACCTCTCCAACAACTCACTTTGCACTTAATAGCACTATTTTCTAAATAATTTGATCTGTTACATAGCTTTAAGAACAAGAATATTTAAATGGAATTGAGAGACAGCATCCTAACACTGAGATTATGGTTTTAATTCTGTTTTACTTCTTGGCCATTAAAAAATTGTGCCTTTTTCTAAGGCTAGAAACAGTATAGTAGGCTAAAAAATGCCTCCCCCAGGTTGGTCTTAAACCATACAGCGTGAGACTGCATTATCTTACTTAGCAAAAGGAACTCTGTGCCTGTCATTATATTAAGGACCTTGAATGGGGAGTTTACCCTGGATTATCCCAATGGGCCCAATACAGGCACAAGTGTTCTTGACAAAAGTAGACAAAACTATCAGAGTGTCAAAGAGGAGAGGTGATATAAAGATAAAGAGTGGAGTTATGAGTGATGTGCTTTGAAGATAAAACAAGGAGTCACAGAACAAAGAATGCAGGTAGCTTTTAGAAGCTGAAAAATGTAAGAAAATGGAATCTTCTCTAGAGTCTCCAGAGAAAATGCAGTTCTGAGGACACCCTGATTTGAACCCATAAGATACATTTCAGATTTCTGTCTTCTAGAACCATAAGATAATAATTTTTTGTTGTTTTAAGCCATTAAGTTTGTAATCATTTATTAACAGCAGTAACAGGAAAACAATATAGATGCCATTATTTAATTTTCCATGTTTTCTTATGTAGCATAATAAAAATTGGATCTAATATTTTATTTCTTTTTTGAAATACAATGTTATATTAAAGAAGACAGTGCAAAGGTATTTAAATGTTATTCCTTGTACTTAAATGTAAAACCATATATATACACATATACGTATATATACATATATGCATACATATATACACACATATATGTATGTATATATTTAATTTCTTTTGGTAAGTCACTGAGATCCAATTTCCAGATGCTTTCTAACAAAAATATGTCACAAAATTAGTAAATGCCTGGAAGAGTCTTGGAAGAGGATCTTCAAAATGTCTTCTTTAATAATGACATTAGCTCTTAAAATAATTAGAGGGGAGCTAAACATGGGAAGATTCAAAAAACATTGTATTTTTTAAAAATCTGACCTCTTTAAATTTGGAAAAATAATACATATGGACTAGGCATTGGAGAACATAATGATTCAATACATTTATAACATGATTTTCTACTTGCAATTCTTCCAAATTGTAAATTAATGTTTTACTCTATGAATTAACATTTCAACAGAAAATGTGCTCAAATATATTTTGTTTAACTCAACTACAAATGTTTGAATTTGTTTAGATGAGATATGCTACCTAGGAAAGAGTCATCTAGCATGAGCAAGTTGACAGTAGTAGAAGATTTTGTAAATCTTTGCCAATTTATCTAAATGTTCATATTACAGCAAAGGTCTCCACTGACAAATTCCTTTTCAATTCCTATTTTGCCACATGGCTATATTCTCATTCTTACAATAAAGTGAGATATTTATTTTCATGAATCAGTATTATATATATATGTGTGTGTGTGTGTGTGTGTCTGTGTGTGTGTGTAATCATTTGAATGCAATTGACTGTCATCTCATGTTTGATCTTAACCTATAATTTTTGTGAGTATCTATATGGTAGTATATTGTCCATAGTAACTTACTCACAAGAACTGCATGAAATATTTAACATTCTTAAATTTGTCCTTCTGGACAAATTTCTGGCAACATTTATATCATATCCTCTATTAGATAATGTTATCTGACTTTGGAAAATGGAACCAGCTTTCAGGAAGCTCTAGTGAAAGAGTGAGCAGTTATTAAAAGAATATAATAGTTTTTCATGGGTCCAAATTGAGAAATTAATAATCATTAAAAAGAATATATGTACAGTGATGTGTCACTTAAAAACAGAATAGACTCTGAGAAGTGCGTCATTAGGTGACTTTTATCATTGCGCTAATATCACAGAGTATCCTTACACAAACTTAGATGGTAGGGTCTACAACAATCCAAGCTATGTGTTATACTCTTTTTCTCCTAGGTTACAAATTTGTATGGCATGTGATTCTACTAAATACTATAGGCAGTTGTAACACAATGATAAGTATTTGTGTATCTAAACATATATAAACATAGAGAATGCACAGTAAAAATAGAGTATTATAATCTTATAAAACCGTTATTGTATACAAGGTCCACTGCTGACTGAAATGTTATGTGGCAGATGACTGTATATATATTGCAAATATACAACTAATAACATAAAGCATAAGGGCTTATCAAAGCTTTTTTTGAAACACATTCACTGATCAGGTCACTTAAAAATAGCCATCTAAAATTCCATGTATCTTTTCTAAAAATTCTCATTCTCAAGTAAAAAATTCCCATTGGCCCATCATGGACATTATGGAAAACTGGCAAATACGCCTCTTCTGTTACTATGTGTGTATTGGGGTTGGGTGAAGGGTGTGGTGTCCTCACTGACTGTCTCAAACAAATCACGTGGAAATGGAAAGAAAAAAACATAAAAGAATAGTTCTAAAAGAAAAAACGCATCATGATGTATCTACTAGGTATACATTCAAGATTTGCTTGATTCTTAAAACTGAGCTCTCTGGTAACTCACCTAAATAGGTGTTGAATTTAATTCAAACTTGATAGTGTTCTTTTATTTAATTTCCCATTCTTTATCCTTTGGTAATCTTGTTTTTTTGCTTTCTAATATCTTGAGCTGCTACATGGAAAAAACCAATGAAAGTGAACTATTCCCCTTAAACCTCATTTTATGAAATCTCATCTTTTCTGCTTGCCAGAGATGAGTTTTCCCTGTAGATATTTCTTCATTCTCGGCCACTAGACTGATGTTATTTTTCCCCAGGTAATTTTGCTACCTAATTTATGTTACATATAGGTAAAACTATCTTATAGATGATTGAATAATAAATTACTATAATCCCATTCTTTAGCATCTCTTCCTACTAGGTCTATTCAGCCACTTCATCATATTAGCTTCTTTTAAGGACAGGGAACTTAGAGGAAAATTACTGTAGAAAGTGATTGCATGTAATTTTCTTCTTGGGATTCTTTGCTAAATTGAAATTTAGATGTATATGCTACAAATTCTGTATTCATGGTCCTACTGCACCCACCCTATTTTTACCTAAGGAAATTAGTTTCCCTTAGTTTTACCTGCCAACTACTTCTGGAAGGTACCAATATTCCAGTTTATGCATACTGAAAACAAGTCTTAGGCATCCTTTAATTCAGAGCCCTTCTTCTTCTTCTCCCTGCTTCCTGTCTCTGGCCCTTGTGAGACTGATAGGTTGCAATGCCCAAAGAGTGCTGTAGTGAATATGCACTTTTATATACATTTATACTTCACCCCAACAATAGACAAAAAAAATCCCTAATTGCTTTCACAAATACTAAAATTACTTCATTTAATAAGCCGGTATTCAAAACTTTCCCTTAGATGAAAGAACTTACCGTGAAAAATAATATTCAAGTACTGCACAGTCTGAAACACGTCACAAGTCCCTTTGCAGGCCACCTCTTGGCAGGCTTTTAGCATTTCTCCACTTGGCAAAGGAGAACTCACCTACCCCTCATGCCACCATCACTAAGAGTCTCAGGTCTTTCTGTCCATCCCTTAGAATGTGGGCCAAACTAACTGCACACCAGCAGAAGGAAGAAGGTCTTTTTTTTTTTTTTCCTCTCTCCAGCCTATGGTCTCCTTCCCACAGCAGGATTTTAGGTAATAAATTTTCATATTCCACAAAAGACTATCTGCTGGGGAATCCATACCTTCAGGGAAACAACCCACATTTACCCAAAGAAATGTAGTCAATTCTGATGACCCCAAAAAGGACAATCATCAGTAAGGCATTTCTCAAACTCTGGGCTATTTAAAATACCTCAGGTGAGATTTAACATATAATCTTACTTATCAAAAGTAAATATATATTTTATATAATCTTTCCTTCAGATTAAATAAAAATCCTCTTTGCTCTATTTTCAATACTTCCTATTCAAGCTTGGCATATGCACAGAGTTGTACAAATGCATTCATACAACAGAAACATAGTACAGTTTATAAGAATATGATAATATAAATCAACATTGAGAAATAATACATGGTTTCTAAAAGAATATTATGTGCAGAAGCAGAGTTCTGCTACAAGTTCACCAAACAGAAAAATCAGCTTATAAGTTTAAATATTTGCATTTTCATTATTTTATTTTACTCAAACTTTTCAAAAGAGCAATGTGTACTATATCTGTCACAATTGTATCTGAAAAGCTAAAGCATGTAGCTAAGTTTTAGAATGACAGTAACAAATATAGTTTTAATTCCTCTTTGGATTCTCATCAAATATTTGGCATTGAGAATTAAACAATTTATTTTTCTATGAACTAAAAATCTAAAAATGAAGAGAATAAGGCAATAAGTCAAAATTTCCCAACAAGTAGCAACTTATACACAATCTAATATAAATACTACATTAAATATTGGAATACAAAAATATCTTAGAAGTCTAGGAATTCTTGTGGAACCTTCTTAGACATACCTTAAGTTCATTTTAGGATTCAGACACATCTGCAGAGGATTGTTCTTTAGTCTCCTTTCAGGGAGAACTCAAGAGTTTTCTAGGACAAAGGAAAATAGAGTGAAGAAATTTTGAAGAGACCATAATGGCTGCCTCTTGCCAGTTTGGATTCTTTCATTATGCCTAAGTTTTAAGGACAAACACTGCAAATAAAAGTCAAACCAAAGGAGATGTTTTATTAATGACATATAACAAAGGTTATTAGATTAGGAGGTTGTTAAGGTTTTAATCTATTGAAATTTGCATGATTGAGGTGAGCTGTTCCTAAGAGGAATGCACAGCTAACGTGAAGTGTCAGCAGTGGCAATGGTGGCTTCATCAATTTTCAAGACATACATACATACAGTGATGGGGAGACTAGACAAGTATAACACCTTAGAAATTTGCACAGTACACAGGCTCTGGCCACATATCAATTGGACCCACATCCTGGATCTACCACTTATTATCAGTATGATCTTGAATAAGCCCAAATTTTTTTAACTATACAGTGATGATAAATTATTGATAGAACCTGTATCTCAGAGCTGTTGTTAGGAGATTCTGGCAAAGTATTGAACACAGTGACAGATACACAGTAAGTATAGTAAGTTCTCTGCAAATGTTATGTCATTAATTTTTCTCCATTTCCACCAGTGCCCTTCGACAAGCCAGTGTCATTGTGACAGTGACTAGTGTTGTCAACATTGGTGCTGCGTCAAATGATAAACATCTGTTCAAAATTTAATGACTTTGAGCCTTCACCAATATGCCTTCACAGAGTTCTGGGTTGCAGATATAATTGTGGCAACTGAGATCACAATAAGAAGGGCAGAGAAAGAAACAAGTAAAAGTAAAGGGAGTAATTCTTCAATTCAAACATCCTGCCTCCTTTAGAGGTCTAATCCAATGTCTGCTATATTTGTGTTTTTATTTGTTTATTTTCAAAACTAATATTTTGCCCGAAGACACATATACTATTTTTGCCTCTGTTCCTTAGTTTATCATTTTACTCTATTTGAGATTAAGAAGTTTGTTTTTTAATTTATGGATACATAATAGTTGTATATATTTATAAAATACATATGATATTTTGGTGGAAGTATAAAAAGTGTAATGATCAAATCAGGGTAATTGGGATATCTGTCACTTTAAATATTTATCTTTTTGGGGGGAAACATCTCAAATCCTCTCTTAGATATTATGAAATATACAATAAATTATTGTTAACTGGTTGCTCAATTGTGCTAACATAGATGGTTACCCCAATTTCCATATAAATTTAGGATGTGTAATAAAAGATGCCATTAAGTCCTCTTACTTGAGAACTAGTTACTGCTTATCTTGAGAAAATGTACGTAATGGGGCCTATCTGCTTAAGTATATAAAACAGTAAAATTGCCAACAAAAAGTACAGACAAGATGAATTCACAGCTGAATTCTATTAGACATTTGAAAAATAATTGGTACTAATCTTGTTGACACTATTCTACAAGACAGAGAAAGACGAAATCTTTCTGCTATCATTCTATGAAGTTGGTATTACCCTAATACCAAAACCAGGAAAAGACAAAACAAAAAAAAAGAATACCAATATCCTTGATGAATACAGATGGAAAAATCTTTAAGAAAATACTAGCTAACTGAATCCAACAGCATATCGAAAAGATAATCCACCATTATCAAGTGGGTTTCACACCAGGGAGGCCATAGTCACCAAAACAGCATGGTACTGGTATAAAAATAGGCACATAGACATAGATCAACGGAACAGAATAGAGAACCCAGAAATAAACCCAAATACTTATAGCTAACTGATCTTCGACAAGGCAAAGACATAAAGTGGAGAAACAACACCCTATTCAACAAATGGTGCTGGGATAATTGGAAAGCCGCATGTAGAAGGACAAAACTGGATCCTCATTTCTCACCTTATGCAAAAATCTACTCAAGATGGATCAAGGACTTAAATCTAAGATCTGAAAACATAAAAATTCTAGAAGATAACATTGGAAAAATCCTTCTAGACGTTGGCTTAGTCAAAGACCTCATGACCAAGAACCCAAAAGCAAATGCAACAAAACTAAAAATAAATAGATGAGGCTTCATTAAAATAAAAAGCTTCTGCACAGCAAAAGAAACAATCAGCAGAGTAAACAGACAATCCACATATTGGGAGAAAATCTTGGCAATCTATACATCTGATAAAGAACTAATATCCAGAATGTACAAGTCACTCAAACGAATCAGCAAGATAAAAACAATCTCATCATAAAGTGGGCAAAGGACACGAATAGACAATTCTCAAAAGAAGATACACAAATGGCAAACAAACATATGAAAAACTGCTCAACATCATTAATGATCAAGGAAATGCAAATCAAAACCACAATGCAAGCCGGGTGCAGTGGCTCACACTTGTAACCCCAGCACTCTGGAAGCCCAAGACGGGTAGATTTTTTGAGGTCAGGAGTTCGAGACCAGACTGGCAAACATGGTAAACCTCTTCTCTAATAAAATACAAAAATTGTCTGGGTGTGGCGGCCCATACCTGTAATCCCAGCTACTTGGGAGCCTGAGGCAGGAGAATTGCTTGAACCCAAGAGGGAGACGTTGCATCACTGCACTCCACCCTGGGTGGCAGAGTGAGACTCCGTGTCAAAAAAAGAAACCAATAGGTCGGGCGCGGTGGCTCACGCCTGTAATCCCAGCACTTTGAGAGGCCGAGGCGGGCGGATCACAAGGTCAGGATATCGAGACCATCCTGGCTAAAACGGTGAAACCCCCTCTCTACTAAAAATACAAAAAAATGAGCTGGGCGCGATGGCGGGCGCCGGTAGTCCCAGCTACTTGGAAGGCTGAGGCGGAAGAATGGCGGGAACCCAGGAGGCGGAGCTTGCAGTGAGCCGAGATCGCGCCACTGCACACCAGCCCGGGCAACAGAGCGATACTCCGTCTTAAAAAAAAAAAAAGAAAGAAAAAGAAAAAGGAAAAAAACCCAACCAGTGCAATATCACCTTATGCCTGAAAGAATGGCCATAATTAAAAAAAATTAAAAATAATAGATGTTGGTGGGGATGTGGCGAAAAGGGAGCAGTTTTACACTGCTGGTGGGAATGTAAAGTAGTACAAACGCTATGAAAAACTGTGTAGATTTCTTAAAGAACTAAAAGTAGAACTACCATTTGATTCAGCAATCCTCCTCCTGGGTACCTACCCACAGGAAAAGAAGTCATTATACAAAAAAGATACTTGCACACACATTTATAGCAGCACAATTCATAATTGCAAAAGTATGGAAGTAAGCCAAATGCCCATCAATCAACAAGTGTTATATAAAATGGAATTTTATATATATAAATAAAATTTTTATACTGAGTAGTATTCCATTATATATATAATATATATAATGGAATATATATTATATATAATAGATAATGGAAAATATATTATATATTATATAATGGTATATCTATTATATATAATACACAATGGAATATATTATATATAATATATGATGGAATATATATTATATATATTATATATGATGGAATATATATTATATATTATATATAATGGAATATATATTTCATATATATTATATATAATGATATATATAATATATAATATATATAATGGAATACTACTAAGCTATAAAAATATAAATATCTATATATATAAATACTACTCAGCTATAAAAATTTATATATAATATAAATATATATAAGTATATATAATTATATATAAGCTTATATATATACATATATACTTATGTATATATACGTATATATATAAGTATATACTTATATATAGTATAAGTATATATAGTGTAAGTATATATATACTTATACATATATAAAAATATATATGTGTATATACTATATACACTTATATATAACATATATAATTATATATAACATATAAGTATATATAAGTATATATTTATATATAAATGTATATAATTTATTTTTATATTATATATAATTATATATATAATGTAAATATATATTTTACATATTATAATATATATTTATATTATATTTATATATAATTATATTTATATATAACGGAATACTACTCAGCTATAAAAAGGAATAAAATAATGGCATTCACAGCAATCTGGCTGGAATTGGAGACCATTATTCTAAGTGAAGTAATTCAGGAATGGAAAACCAAAGATTGTATATTCTCATTCATAAGTGGGAGCTGAGCTATGAGGATGCAAAAGCATAAGAATGATACATTGGACTTTGTGGATTCGGGGGAAAGGGTGGGAGGGAGGTGAGGGATAAAAGACTACTAATTGGAGACAGTGTGCATTTCTCGGGTGATGGGTGCACCAAAATCTCAGAAATCACCACTAGATAACTTATTTATGTAACCATACACCACCTCTTCCCAAAAATCCTGTTGAATTTTTTTAAAAAAGAATTTTTTGTGTAAATAGTGCTTAGAGGATTATTAAAACCCAAAGTTAATGATTCTCATCATAAACATCTTTCTATTTTAAAATGTCAAATACTTCAAAGTTTTAAAAGTACTTTATAACTCAAAAATCATTTTTTCAAATATTAAATATATTGTGAGAAATAAGATACCTATTATAATTCTAGAAATTAAAAACACAGAAACATTTGCAGTCAAGACTTTTTAAGTTGAGTGTAGTATTTGGCAATAGGATGAAAAATCAAGTGATGGAAAGTTATAGGACACAGAATAGAGAAAAAAGTTGAATAAATTTCAGGAGGGTTAGATAAGTCACTAAAATATCACCTTACGCCTTAAAGGTGTAAGGTGTATCAAATATTTGGTACTAAAAAAGCATCAAATAACAAGTAGTACAGAAAGATTATTTAGGTATCAATACATTTTCAACTTTAAAAATGGCTCCTATACTCCAGATGAGAATGCAATCTGGCTTAATCCTTGGTTTTAGCCTTGTAATACCCTGAACAGAGAAGCAGCTACACTCTGCCTGTCTTCTGATCGATAGAAACTGTGAAATAATAAATGGGGGTGTTGTTATAACTCAAGAAAAATAAATCCTAGAATTTAAATAAATGAAAATATGACATTATAAATGGTAGATGATTATTTAAAAGCAGTTGTATTTGTTAATTTCACTTGGTAGACTTGTAGCAAATATGCATATATTTTACTTAAAGTTTTGCAGTTATTTAGTCTATTTTCAAACTTCAAGTACAATTTTCAAGGTGGAAAAAATGTAACTGACCAGTAATGACTAGCACTCATATTTACTTAGTTAAATGGGTGCTTATTTTGAGATTTTAAAACATATATTTCAAAAAAATGGATGAATTAGACAACTTTTTAAATTTTTCTTAAATATTTTAAAATGATAGACCTGTACTTTTCACAACTTCATTGTATTTTATAAGGAAGACACTTAAATATGAATAAACTCTGAAATAAGTTTATGCTCACATCCATTAAATCAGACTACCCAGTTTTTAAAAACATGTACATGTATTCATTACGGTCATTTATTTGTGCACTCTTGCAAAGTTGAATTAATATAATAATAAAATTATATCTTAAGATATGTAAAACATGTTAAATGCTTCTAAAAATGTTTAATGAAATTCTACTTCTAAATACACTCATTGATCTATTCATTGGACAAATATTTATTAGGAACCTATTATATACCAGGACTACTTTTAGAAGCTGGAAATATGTATAGCAGAGTACAGAAACAAACCCTTGCTTTCACTGGCTTACAATCTAGTGGAGATATATAATAAACAATAAACAAATTAAGAAATACAATTTTTCAGGAGTTAAAATTGTTGTGGAAAAAATAAATCAGAGTAAGATGAAGAGAGTGAAAGCAGCTATTAATGACAGGTGGTCATTAAGTCTTCTCTGAGGAGATCATATTTTAAGAAAAGAACTGAATAAGTGAAAGAACTCATATACATGCAAGTGCATTATTTGTGAGACTTAACCCATACAATAGAACATACTGTTACTTTCCTGTTGCATAGATTTTAAAATTGATTGAAATAACTTTGGAACATATGATGTCTAAAGTTCAAGGACAGGTAGACTAGGTCTTAGCCAAAGGTTCTTCTTGCTAAAATTACTTTCTTGTCCAGCTGAGCTTACTTTTAAACAAACAAGCAAACAAAAAACTAAATACATGAGGCTGATTTTTATTTTTAAAATATTGAAGTTTGGTAGTGATTAATGGGATAATTATCAATAAAGCAAACATTCAAACCTGTTTTCATTTTGATGCTTTTGTACTTTTTCTAGGTTTGGATTAGTTAGCTCAAACAATAATTTACATTTTAATCAAATTTCATGTTAGCAATAGATACCTTCGTCCATGACAAAATTGGAATTAGGATTTTCACATGAAATTATTTCATAATTATAATCTCAAGTTTGATTTGATTTGATTGGCTGCATGTCCTTTTTATCTTTACTTAAAAACATCCTGATTCCAAATTTCAGCTTTCATCTTAAAAAAATACCAAAATATTATTTTCCTATCAGCTTAAAGAGCACAACTAATATCTGAAATTTAAAAATCCATATAACAAATGATAGTATTCATTTAAAAAATTCCAACACCAATCGGCCTTAGCCTGCTCTGTTTCATAAGTAACTTGCATACAAGTTTGCAAAGAAAATATTAATGCATATTTTAGACTGAAAGATTTCAGAATACAGAGACATTCATGGGCAGAAATGAAAGTCATCAGGTTTGGTGGCTTAACAATAAACAAAAAAATCATAACAACAAGCATTTCTTGAAAATTTTCATTGTGCTAGAATGTTTACAAAATAGTTTCATGCTTTAATCCATATTGTTCTAATAACAAATTTATAAGACAGGTACTGTAATTATTTTCATTCCATTGATGAAAAACTAGTGATCTAGAAATGCTGATAACATGCCAGAGATCAAATAAGTAGTTCATGGCGGAGCTGGGCTTCCAACCAAGGTCTCTCTCCAAAGCCTGTGGAAAATGGTTTCTCTTGATGCCCGAATGAGAAAATATTTGTGAGGAGAAAGGCATGTGTACAAATCAGTGGTAGAGCCAGAAAACACAATGGCAAAAGAAAAAAAAAAAAAAAACCGTGGGCGGCCTGGAATTTATATAATTTGTATATTACAATGTGGATATATATTGTCTTGTGGGGCAGTAAATATGAAACAAAAAACGCAAAATAATTAGACTTGTAAGGGTCTTAGAAGTGTAAGGGTCTTAGACTTGTAAGGGTCTGAAGACTTGTAATTTGGCTTGCAAGGGTCTTAGAACTGCATATTGTACCATCGTTAATTACACAGCTGGGCAAGTTAAACGGAAGAGGTTTGTAAAATTATGTGACCGTACATTCAACACAAAGTTAGATGTAAAGTCCTTTACATGGAGCTAAGTTTTTTTTTGTTTTTTTGTTTGTTTTCGTTTTTTTAAACAAAGATGGTTCATTCTCTGCAGAGACTGTCGAAAATTGCCAATGTCGACCATATTTCAAGTCATCATGGCCGGGTATTGGGAAAAGTTTTGAATTAGCAATACTTGCACCTCAGATAAACCTCATCAGCTAGCATACTTCCACTGTGCAAAGGTGGAGCTAAGTTTTTACACAGTAGAATCACCTAGTAGCCAAATGGAAGAGGATAAGGAAAACTTTAAAATCTATAATTAGGGGTCTTTCGTTTGTATCTCTAAGGAAAAACTGGAAATAAGAGAACTAGGACAAAACAACACTAATTGGGATTTTTCCCAGATGTTCTTTTTATTCCAGGAACTGGCATGAACTGCTTGAGAGTTGAAAACAAGTTTTTCTCAAAGCTTAAAATAGGAAATAACAGTAATATAGCTAAGGATCATTCTAAAATAGTCTATACTACTTCCATAATGGATTCATGAGAACAGGAGAAGAAAACTGATTAAGATTCTAGAACCTAGAACAGCAGCTCACAAATCTTTTGGTGTCAGGACCCCTTTATACCCTTAAATATTATTAATGAATCCACATGTCATTTTTGTGTATAGCTGTCAAAATTTATGGTATTAGGAATTCAAACTTAGCAATATTTAAACTTATTCTATTCCAGTTATTAACTATAATTACACATGATAGCAAAAATAACTTACTTAAAAGATTACACTTACTTATTTAAAAGATTATTAACTTACTTAAATTAAATTATACACTTATTAACTTACTTAAAAGATCACACTTAAAAGATTAAAGATTACACTTTCCCAAACAAAAATGTTTATTGAGAAATAGTGGCTTTATATTATATTTTTGTGCATCTCTTTAATGTCTGACTTACTAGAAGGCAGCTAGATTCTCATAACTGTTTTTATATACAATCTTTTGTGATATATCTTTTAGCTCCTGGAAGACTTCACTGGAAGACTTTATTCTCTTGAGATATGGAAAGTGAAAAAAGCAGATATCATAATATTATTATGATTTTTTTTAATCTCTAAGACCCTTGTATTGTAACATGGTTCACACTTTGAGAATTGCTTGTCTGGAACAATGCCCCAGCAGACAGTAGATGTTAAAGTAATGCTTTTGAGTGAATGAATGTAAATCTCAGTTACAACTTGCCATAAAAGTTTGTTCTTAAATTGCATTCACTGTCATCCTGGGAAATAATCAATTAGACAAGTTCCTGTGTTTAGATTGCCACGTTCATTAAGTCCTCAGGGTTGGAAGTCTTGAGAGCATTGACTAACCTCTGCTGTAATAATCTGGATCTTAGGGCAAGAGAACATGGCTAAGGCGAAATGTAAGTGAGATCAAACTTCAACACAAATATCCAGGAAGGACTGTCACAGCTAAAAAGCCCTTTGAACTCTTAACAATAAAACCAGTTAGGGTTCTATCATACAGAATGTAACCCCCAAATATATCAAAAATCTTATTTTAATATAAAGAATATTGTATTGACAATTGACAATATTACAGTGAGTCTAGACAGTACATTAAAGTGTGAGATAAATACATATATATTTAACTTATAAACATGTATGCATACATAAATTCTAGCTGTGCTTAAATTAAATTAAGTTAAAATTACTATAAAAATATTATTTAAGATTCAAGACCAAAAGAAAGATTATCATATAGAATCCTCATGAACTTTCTGTTTAAAAATAATGACTTTTTGTTGTGCCATTTACCTTTTTCAATGTAATCTCTTCACTAATATAAAATACCAAAATCTTAATGTCTCATATATCCTGGGAAAGGTGCTTTACTACTTTAACCTTTTCAATATTTTGTAATATGATTGTCATACCTTTCTACTTCACTTATAGTTTACAGCCTTGGCGAACTGTGGGGAAGAAATTAGATTGTCAAGGGAAAAAAAATACAAAATGCTAAAGATTAAAGGCATCAGCTCTAAATATTAAACTGTCTGATTTTATTCATCTTATAAAAGACTTAATAATTTTGGTAGTCATATTTTGGAAGAGACTTTTTGCTAAAGAAAGATAACTCTAATATGATATAATTTGGTGGAATACATGCATGTTTAAGGGTTTGTGGGTGTTTGTGTTTGGACATGTGTAAGAAAATAGCACTTTATAGAAGAAGGACTATGTTTTATTTGATTGTCAGGCTTGTGCAATAATCTCAAAGCCAGGAGTCAAATTTAAATTTACAGAAGAGCAGGCAAAGTTGCTAGGTTGAAGAAATTGAATCCAAGCCTATTCATTCATGGTCAGGGGGATGGATGTATAGGTCTATAAAGACCAAAAGACAGCTATATTTGGCTAAAAAAAAAGAGAAAGTGAATATGGGTGGTAAATATTACACTTCAGAAAATAATGTAACATTTATATTCATTGCTGAGAAAAGGCTGATATAGATAGCTCAGATAATCTGAAAAAGAGGGCTTGGTTTGAAAGCTTGACACTAGGCTGAAAAGAAGAGAAATAGAGTGGTAGGAAAAGCTGCTCTGTAAGACTAATGCTTCACTTACATCCAAACTCATGGGTTACAATAATATCAGACAAAGAAAGCCTGCACATCTTGCTGGCTCATAAATGCATGTACTAGCACTCTGCGTTCTCTCTTTCTCTATATACATTTGCAGATGTATATATCTGTCTTCATTAAAACTCAATCAAGGAGAACATTTGTATTTCTAGCTGAAAAGCAGTTTTCATGTCTTGGTAAGTAAACTACTTTATTGTGTGCATATTATTGCAATGTAACTCAGAGAAAGGCATTAGATAAGACATTTCTTTCTGTTTTGTTTAATCCAAGAGATTTTAACCAAAAGGTGAACTAAAATGAATAAGTATAAAGACTTAACAACAGAAAAATTACTTCCCCTTAGAAACTTGGATAACTAAAGCATGAGAAGCCAGTGCTTTCTGAAACCTATGCGCCTTCCAGAGCATTTTTTAAAAATTCTCAGATAAATAATGAGCATTTCTAAAAGAATAAGCATTTTCTAAAAAATAAAAATAAACTGTGCTTATTTGTACCTACACTAAAATATAGTAATGTAAAGAAAGTTTACTTGTGTACTCCTTTGTTAATCCGCAAACCCCTAAGTAAATTATAATCACTTCAATACATGTTAAAATATGAATACAGTTTTTTCTTTTGTAAATTTTGTCACATGGATATTCAGTTACATATTTTTATGAAATGTATTTATATTAAGTATATATTTTATCATATATGGAGTATAGAACATTTAGTCTTTTCATGCATAAATCACCATTAAAATAATTTGAAACTTAAAGATTCTATCTGGTCCAGATACTGAAGCACAGCTATCTATCTTTAAAAAAAAATACAACTGAACTAGTTGGACTGTATGGGAATAATAACAAATAAACAAAGAAAATATGTGTTACCGAAAGCACTGCACTCAGGATACTTCATCTCAGTTCTACCCTCACTGCTACCTCTTCCTACCATTTTCACTTTCTTTTTAACCTGCAGCTTTATACTACATCTGGACTAATCATCCACTTCTTTGTCCCTTCAGCTAATATTTGAAGATAAATCTCAGTAAGGTAACACATTACTATAATAATCACAGAGTAATTATTTTATCATCATTATTTATTTACTTACTTTTGTCCTTTTTATTAAAAAGATAAATTAAGTCATAAAAGAGTCACATAAATTTTAGTAAATTAAATATGTTAAAAATTAGCAAATTTTTAAATTAAAATTTAGTCAATTAAAATATGTTAAAAATTAGCAAATTTTTGTGAAGAGCAAACAGGAATTAAAAATAAGTTTGCAGAAGGCTGTCAGCAAGAAGGTAAAATACAAAGCCATGCTTTCCCAGACGGCACATCAATTTCACAACATAAGGAAAAACTATTCCTTATGAGAAATCCAAGAACCAGTTGAGAGGCTCCTGCACTTTAGCACACAAAACCAGCTGCATAGAAGCTGGTAGGAAAATTTGAAGCACCGTCACACTGTTATGTTTCTCCATTGCACAACCTCACCATGTGAAGATAAACCCTAGATCAAAGTTTCTCCCTGGAGAAAAAAAAAAAGAAAAGGAAAAGAGTGGAGCATATGTCCAACGTTCTCACTTTCTGGAGGCTGACCAAGTGATACTGACAGAAGATGATCTCAGGTTGGGGGCTGCCGAGAACAAAGATGGTGATTTTTAATAGCATATATTCATTTATCATAGCCCCTTTCTCTCGCTCTGCACAGATCGAGCTTGCAGAAACCTCCATATTCCAGTTTCTCCCTGGAGAGGGAAAGAGTTTGGATGATGTAGCCAACATTCCAAATTTTGTGGGGTTGACCCAGGAATTGGCTTCTGTTTTTCCAGTCTCAGAGTGCTGATGAGATCAGGTACACTCTGCATGACTGGGGAACACTGAAGACAGCAATAGCTTGAAGTGTGCACTTACCTCTCACAGCCTGTCCCTCAGTACAGTGCCACATGATTGGGAAGAAACCTCTTTTCACAGCTTATCCTAGGGGAGGAAAAGCATTGGACCTGGCATGCAACATTCCAATTTTTCAGCGGGCCGCACCAAGGACTGGCTTCTGTCTCAACTCCCTGGGAACACTGGTAGGAACTAGCATACTCTAGATGCCTGAACGCTAAGAACAGGGCAAAAGTTTAGGCTAGTACAAACTCATCCATCAGAGGCCTACTCCCAGCTCAGCATAACACAGTCAAGAAGACTCCCAGTGACTGGCTTATCTCTGGGAAGAGAAAGATATGACTAACACATTTGTCAAATTTAAAACTTTTTAGGTGGTTGCCTGAGGGAATGAACTCAGTCTCACCTGTCTCAGAGCATAGGTGGATTCTGACACACTGTAGATGCCTGGGGGGTACTGATAACAGGAAAATGAGTTTGTGCATGCTGCTACTCCAGAAGGCACATGGTACAGCCGATAGATGACAGAGGAAGCAAGAAATTATACATTTCTAAAAAAAGAAAGCAGAAAATCACGTTCGAAATGTACATGCACAAGTCCAGAGAGGATGCATACACAGAGAGGTCTTAAAGACCCCATGAATCTCTGGCTAGGCTAATGATGAATGCCTTCTCCCATATGAGGCCACACTGGGAGGACTTGGAGAGGAAGCCGTTGTTCTTATCATCTGTCGATACCAAAACAAGTAGTAAATAAAAATAAAGTAATAAGGAAACATAATCCACACAAAGGAACAAATGAGTTACTCAAGGTGAAACAAAAGGATGCTAAGCATCAACATAAAAGCACATGAAAGCATAAACAAGCTGATAAAGGAAAATATATAGACAGTACAAAATGTTATACTGTAAAGGTAGTACGTGAATTACTTTTAATCCTAGTATACAAATTAAATGATTAATGTATAAAAATAAAAATAAAAAATGCTAAGGGATAAAACATATAAGAATATGTAACATGTGACATAAATGCAATAAAATGAAGAGCAGGAAGTGTAAAAGTATAAAGGTTTTGTATGCCATTAAAGTTGTTATTATCTGCTTAAATATACTGTTATAACTATACAACATTTTGTGTAAACCTATGATAATCATTTAAAAAACTTAAGAAACACAAAAGAAAACGAGAAAGGAATCAAATTATATTATTGCAGAAAATTAACTAAAAACAAAGAAAGATAGCAAGAGAGGGAAAGGGGACAGAAGTACAAGGCAAACAGAAAAAAATTAACAATTTAATAGCAACATTAAGTACTTTTCTATCAATGTTTACTTCACATGTAAATGTTTTAAACTCCTCAACTCAAAGGCATAGAATAGTTAAATGCATTTTAAAAACACACAAACAAGCAAAAAACAAGAACCAAATATATGCTGTGTACAAGGAGCTCAGTTTAGATTTAAGGACAGTCATAGGCTAAAAGTGAAGGAATGGAAAAACTAGTCCATGCAAATGGTAATCTAAAGAGAACAGAGGCAGCCATATTTATATTAGACAAAACAGACTTTAAGTCAACCAATATCATAAGAAATAAAGAAAAATATTATGTAATGATTAAAGAGTGAATTCACCATAAAAATAAAAAATTCTTAAATAATATTTACCCAATATCAGAACACCTAAATATGTGTTACAAACATTGACAGAACTGAAGTGAGAAGTAGACAGCAAAACAATAAAAGTAAAAGATTTCATTACTTCGTTTTCAAAATGGATAAAATATCTGGATAGAAAGTTAATGAGAAAACCAAGTATTTGAACAATACTAAATAGAAAATTGAACTTATAGAAACATGAAGACATTTTACAAAACAGCAGCAGAATGAACATTATTTTCAAGCACACACAGAATATTCTCCAGTATTGATCACGTTAGGTCTCAAAACAAGCCTTAACAAATTTGAGAAGACTGAAATCATGCCAAGTGTCTTTATGACCACAGTGGAATAAAATTAGAAATCAAGAGCAGAAGAAAACTGAACAATTCACAAATCTGTGAAAACTATACAACACACTTGTAACCAATAGTTCAAACACGAAGTTTTTAAAAATTAGAAAATATCTTATCAACATTAGAAAAATCTAACACAATCTAATATAATATCTTGCAGAAACAATAATGAAAACACAACATACCAATATTTATAACATGCATCAAAGCAGCACTAAGAGAAAAGTTTACAGCGGTAAGTACCTACATTTAAAAAAACAAGTTTTCAAATGAACTATCTAACTTTACATCCCAAGAGACTAAAAAAGGAAGAGAAAACTAAGCTCAAATTAGTAGAAGAAAAAAAATGCAAAGATTAGAGCAGAAATATAAAAAAAGGACGGAAAAACAATAAAAAGAGGTAACAAATTGAGTTGTCTTTTTAAAGACAAGCAAAGTTGCCAAATCTTTAGCTATACTAAGAAAAAAAGAGAAGATTTGAGTAAATGGAAATGTAAATGAAAGAGACATTGCAACCAGTGCCACAGATGTAAAACTGATTATAAGAAACTACTAAGAACAATTATATGTCAACAATGGCATAACCTAGAAGAAATAGATAAATTCCATGAAAGATGTAACCTACCAACAATGAATCATGAAGAAATAGAAAATTTGAAGATAATACTAACTATTAAGAATACCGAATTACTAATCAAAAACCTCCCAACAAAAAAGGTAAATTACTTCAGGACTAGATTACTTCAATGGTGAATTCTATAAAATATTTAGAGAAGTATTAATGACAATCATTCTCAAACTCTTCCAAAGTATTAAAGAGGAAAGAACTTCTCCAAACTCATTCTATGAGGCCAATATTACTCTGATATCAAAGCCAGAAAAAGACACTATCAGAAAACGTAGGTCAAAACACCTCGTAGCAGGATGAGCTGCAGACAAGAACCCACCGAATTGTAGAAGGAAAGGGCTTTACTCAGCTGGGAGCATCGGCAGACTCACATCTTCAAAAACCGAGCTCCCCAAATTAGCAATTCCTGTCCCTTTTAAGCGCTTACAACTCTAAGGGGGTCAGTGTGAGAGGGTCGTGATCGATTGGGCAAGCAGGGGGTACATGACTGGGGGCTGCATGCACCTGCACTGGTAATTAGAACGGAACAGAACAGGACAGGGATTTTCACAGTGATTTTCCATACAACGTCTGTAATCTATAGATAACATAACCGATTATGTCAGGGGTCGATCTTTAACTGCCAGGCCCAGGGTGTGGCACTGAGCTGACAGCCTGTGGATTTGATTTCTGCCTTTTAGTTTTCACTTCTTTTTTCTTTGGAGGCAGAAATTGAGCATAAGACAATATGAGGGGTGGTCTCCTCCCTTAACCTTATCAGTATAGATGTAAAATTCGTCAAAATACTAGCCAACAGAATTCCAGAGAGAGAACACTTAAAGAATCATAAAGCATGACCAAGTAGAATTTATCCCCAAGATGCAAATATGTGTTAACATATAAACATTAGTTAATTTGATACATTACATTAACAGAATGAATGCTAAAAATCACATGGTCATTTTAAAGATGCAGAAAGAAAAAAATGACAAAATTTAATGCCCTTTTATGATTAAAAAAAATTTCTAACAAATGTTGTATAAAAAGAAATTGCCTCAAAATAATAAAGGCCACCTTCAAAAGCTTCTGGATAATATTATATTCAAAGATGAAAACCCTGAAAGCTTTTCCTCTAAAATCAGAAACAAGAATGTCTACTCTTGTACTTCTATTAAATATAGTACAAAAAGTCCAAGCTAGTGCTATTAGACAAGAAAAAGAAACAAAGCACATCCCAATTTGAGAAGAAATAAGTGAAATTAACTCTGCTCACAGATGACATAATCTTGTATGTAGAAAATTCTGAAGATTCCACCAACAAAACTTGCCAGTTTAATAAATGTGTTCAGTAAATTTACAGGGTAGAAATCAATATACAAAAATCAATTTTGTTTCTACACACTAACAACAAACTGTTTTTAAAGAAATTTTAAAAGATAATCCCATTTACCATAGCATCAAAAATTAAAATACTTAGAAATACATTTAACCAAGGAATAAAAAATGTGTAATTGGAAAACTATAATGTACTGCTGAAAGAAATTGTAGGATACACAAATAATTGAAAAAGTATCCCATATTCATAGATTGGAAGTATTATATTTTTAAAAATGTTCATACTACCCAAAGTGACCTACAGATTTAATGCAGTTTCTTTCAAAATCTCTACTTAAAAAATAGAATAAAGAGACTTTAAATTAGTATGGAACAACAAAAATGCTGAGTGGAGAAAACAATCTTGATAAAGAACAAAACTAAAGCAAACACTTTTTTTTATTTCAAAGCATTCTTCAAAGTTGCAGGAACTAAAACAGTATGATACTAGCATGCAGACAAACATATTGACCAATGGGACAGAGTGAAGAGGCTAGAAATTAATCCATACATGTACAGTCAACTGACTTTTGAAAATGATGCCATAAATGCACAATAGGAAAATAATAGTATTTTCAATATATAACATATGAAAAAGCAGATATCAACATGGAAAAAAATGAAAGTGGACATTTATCTTACATATTACCTAAAAATCAAGTCAAAGTGGATTAAAGATGTCAACTTAAGATCTGAACTGCAAAATTCCTAGAAGAATACATAGGAAAAAGCTTCCAGGCATTGGTCTTAGCAAGGACTTACTGGCTATGAGAGTAAAAACATAAGCAAGAAAAGTAAAAGTAGACTGGTGGTATAACACCAAACTAAAAATCTTCTGCATGGCAAAGAAAACAATCAATAAAATGAGAAAAACTAATTGCTTAACATTTATCTGATAAGAGGTTATTATCCAAAATATATAAGGGACCCCTATAATTCAACAGCAAAACATAATAAAAGCAAAGAATAACCACCAAATCCACTTAAGTAACCCAATTAAATAATGGGCCAAAGACTTAAATCACCATTTCTCCAAATAAGACAGACATATGGCCACCAGTTATATGAATATTGATCAACATCACTGATAACTAGGGAAATAAAAATCCAATTCACAATGAGACGTCATCTCATATTGTTAAAATAATTATCTAAATAAATAAATATTGGTGGGTTTGTGGAGCAATTAAATGTTTTTTTTTTGTCGTTGAAATGTAAAACGGTATGGATACTACAAAAAGTAGTATGAAATTCTCTTAAAACATTAATAATAGAATAACCTTATAACCCAGCAATCCTACATCTGGGTATACATTCAAAGAGATTGATACCAGGATCTTGAAGATATATTTTCATTTCCATATTCATTTCAGCATTAATTACAATAGTCAAGCTGTGGAAAAGATTAAAATGCCTATGGACTGATAATTGCATAAAGAAATTATGGTGTATACATCAAATAGAATACTATTCAGCCTTAAAAGAAAGAAATTCTGTGATCTGTGACAACATGAATGTACATCAGGGACATTATGGTAAGAGAAATAAGCCAGCAACAGAAGGACAAATACTGCATGATATCTTTTATGCAGATATGTATGTTGGGAGCAAGCCACCCAAAATCTGGCCATAAACTGGCCCCAAAACTGGCCATGAACAAAATCTCGGCAGCACTGTAGCATGTTCATAATGGCCCTAACGCCCACGCTGGAAGGTTGTGGGTTTACCGCAATGTGGGCAAAGAACACCTGCACCGCCCAGGGTGGAAAACCACTTACAGGCATTCTTAAGCCACAAACAATAGGTTGAGCAATCTGTGCCTTAAGGACATGCTCCTGCTGCAGTTAACTAGCTCAACCTATTCCTTTAATTTGGCCCATCCCTTCGTTTCCCATAAGGGATACTTTTAGTTAATTTAATATCTATAGAAACAATGCTAATGACTGGTTTGCTGTTAATAAATATGTGGGTAAATCTCTGTTAGGGGCTATCAGCTCTGAAGGCTGTGAGACCCCAGATTTCCCACTTCACACCTCTATATTTCTGTGTGTGTGTCTTTAATTCCTCTGGCACCACTGGGTTAGGGTCTCCCCAACCGAGCTGGTCTCGGCAACTGCATGATACCTTTTATGAAGATATGTATTTTATGCATGATACCTTTTACGAGATGATGTAAATAGTCAAATTCATAGAAGCAGAAAATAGAATGGCAATTTACACTGTATGGGAGGAGAAAGAAATGACTAGTTGCTCTTCAAATGGTATAAAGTTTCAGTTAAGGAAGATGAAAAAATTCTGGAGATCTTCTCTACAGCATAGTGCTTACAGTAAACCATACTGTACTGTACAATTCAAAATTTGTTAAGAAGATAGATATCATGTGTGGCCTTACCACAATAAAATATAACTAATAAATACAATGAAAACAAAATAAAGTTTTCATTAGGCTTATCTTCTAGAAACATAAATATTGTGAAAATGTTAAGTGAAAATAATTTAACTAATGTTTTCAGACTTTTTTCTATTTTATTTTTCAAAAATTGTACCTTGCTCTACAAGGCAATTGAAATTCTGGTCTTTCTCTTTCTGTTGCGTGTGTCGTTGGTGCTGGAACCAGAGTTTTAGGGCATCCCACAGTGCAAGAGATTCAATAATTTTTCCAAAGCACCCTCTAACTGAGGAGTCAAAGTGCTTCTTTGCTGGAGCTGAGAGAGACTGGCGAGAGATAATCATCTCCCTTTGATATTGTTTGGCTCTTTGTCCCCACCCAAATCTTATGTTGAATTATAATTCTGATCATAAAAAGTGTATGTCACTTCCGCCCTTCACTCTCTCTCCTGCCACCATGTGAAGACATGCTTGTTTCTCCTTTACCCTTCTGCCATGATTGTAAGTTTCCTGAGGCCTCTCCAGCCATGCCTCCTGTACAGCCTGTGGAACTATGAATCAATTAAACTTCTTTTCTTTATAAATGACCCAGTCTTAGGTAGTTCTTTATAGCAGTGTGAGAACAGACTAATATACCTTTCTGCATTTTTTTGCTTCCTTGGCTCTTTCCAGCCTAGAAATACTAACAGTTCAGATAGCGCTGCAGTCTCATATAGGGAAAGTCCTTCTCAGCCTGAACTTGAGAAGAGAAAATGATAGTAAAAGATAACTTCCCCAAAGGCACTGTGGCTTCCATGGAGAAATCCAGACACTCTACCTCTTGCCTGTCTTAAATGTAGCCAGCACCGAATACCCACCCTCCATGGCTTCTTCTGCTAATGCCCTAATTTTCACTCCCACAGCTGTATCTAACCAGAAGCCAGAGGATACAATAACCCATATAGAATATGAAATCCAGGGTTCCAGAGCACAGAGCATAGTGTAAGAAAGTACAGAGTAAAATCAAGTGGAGTCGAAGGTAAATGAAACCTGGGGACCACATTAGGGATAGAAACACTCTGGCATAAAAATATATTTTCTTCTATTATGCAATAAAATCTCCCTCTTATAAAATTCCTTTACTCCCCCTTGGTAAAGGGCATAAAAAGGAAGAAGCAATCTCATAGATTCTGGAACAAGAATAGGGACGACTAGCTTCAGAATCCTTTGAGTGATGTTACTTAACTGTTTCTTGACCTTGAATGACAGAAGCACAACTTTACGGTAGACTTCATTTTCTATTGAGTCAGATTGATGAAAAAGCACGCTTTTTTTTTTCTCTGACAACCACCATTTGTATTCCCATAAAGAGTCTCTTCAAAATTTCAGAAAACTGAGTGAGTCTTTGCTGTCAGGAAAAGAGCAATTTGTGAAATGATAGCTGCAATAATTTTGAAGACTCTATATAGACGTTGGTCAACTATTCATGCATAGGGTGGGGAAAATGAGAACCAAGAAGTTCTTTTTTCTATCTCGGCCAGGGTTCACTTACCAAATGAGTTTCTTTGTGCCTTGGCAGTTGAGTCTGCCCAGCTGGATATAATTAAGTGGATAGTTGAGCCAGAGAGATCTCATCAACAGAAATACCTTCACTGTCCACAAAGCAGGGATTTAAACTATGTTAACTATGAATGTGCCCCTTAAAACTTTAAATACAAAATCATATTGCATCATAATGAAATACCTTCACTGTCCACAAAGCAGGAATTTGTACTATGTTGACTATGAATATGCCTTTTATAACTTTAAAAACAAAAATCGTAATTTATTATTTAAATACAAACAATATTGTTTTATTGGCTTTGCCATTAAAAGTAATGGCAAAACCCGCAATCATTTTTGCACCAAGAGTCAGTAACAGTTCAATAGAGATCATTAGTTTAAAACAGATGTTAAAATGTTGGATATATCAAAGGGTTGCTAAAGAGTGGAGACTAATAGAATTTCAACTTCGCAACACCCATGGTACTTAACACAATTAAAGACTTTAGATCCATTAATTAAATTTACTTCCCATATTTTACCATTCCGAATTCAAAGTTTAGATAAATATTTTTAGAAAGGAAAGTCAAGTCACTTATTTTTTACAACTCTAGAGGCATGCAAATGCACTATGCTTCCAGCGTTATGAGGGCAGAAAATCAACCTGTCTATTCATCAAAGTGGATTTAGGAACCGTCATACTATCACCTCATCATTGGTCTTCATTACATATTTGTTGAATAAATGAATAAAAGGAAAAAATGAAGAAAGAAAATACTATCTTGTCACATCCAAAAGAGTAAAATTTTGTCTCTTTTAAAAAATTATTTGCTGCATCCCCAGAATCTAGATCAATACTTTGCACATACAAGTGATCAGTAAATACACATTGAATAAACAAGTCCTAGATTATCTATTTATGCCTTAGTCAATCCACTATTTAGGTTACTGTATGAAAAGTTTATGTATTTGTTGATCTGAAGCTGCTAGAGATACAGCTTTACGTTCCAATTTGCTCTGATTTTTTTTTTCATGCTCTGTTTTGAATGAATCTGGCTATTTGACTTCTTCAGTTTATTCTCAATCCTTATATTCCCCTTAGTGGAAGAAAATAACAGGTCAGAAACCCTTATTGTTTAATGGTTTGTAATGTTTTCTTGGAGTTGCTCTGTTGGCAATATCTGTTTCAGTTACATAAATGAGAGTCTGGAAAAGCAGAAAAACAATTGATTGAGGGTTCCTCTGAGACAGCTGCAGCCTCGTTTTACATTGTTGTTATTTAAAATGTGAAAGAATTGTAGTTCTGCCAGGTCCAACATACAAGTATTTCTAGGAAAGACATTTTGTACTTTCAGAAACCAAAGCATAATTTTAATGGACTTTAATGCATTTTAAATGTTTATAAAGTTATGTCATATTATTTTGCATATAATTACCACTTTTGACATTTCAGACTATCATTCACAGATAATAAGAAAGAAACAAATACTCAGTACTTTCCTGAATTAAGTTGCTAATTTTTGTTTTTCCATTACAGCAAAGAAAATAAATACATAAATAAATAAGGATAGTTATATCAAATGATATGTTCTGTTATTAGGCAATGTTCACTTATTCTGAAAATTCATGCTGTTTTTCTTGAGTTACTTTCCAATCCAAATATCTTCATAAACATGCTAATATAAAAATATTCATCAGAGATCAAATATACCATTTATTCTTGACATTGGTTTCAGTTCTGGAGCGTTAACTCAAATATGTAGAAATTAACTATTTTTCTCCATAACTGTTTAACTTTCTCATAATTTACCATTCACACTCAGTATCCAGAAAACAAGCATCATACCTAATGAAATTCATGTAAATTAACAATCACTTCTGATTTATTTCAGTAACTCAGATTTACTCAGTCTCACCTTTTGTCTCTTTTTAAAATTATTTGCTGCATCCCCAGAGTCTAGACCAATATTTGGCACATACCAGCTGATCAGTAAATACATGTCGAATAAACAAGAACTAGATTTTGTCTATTAAGTGGTAAATACTTAGTCTTCCAGAATTTTTGAATGCTCCCTTTATCCAAAGGTACACTCTAGTTCATTAACATTTTTCTCTGTGCTTTGTCTCTATCCTTACTGCATCTACTGCTGGAGTACCCAAAGTATCTTCCCCTGCGGGCACAGAATCTCCTTTGTTTTTTTTTTTTTTTTTGAGATGGAGTCTCGCTCTGTCTCCCAGGCTGGAGTGCAGTGGCGCAATTTCCGCTCACTGCAAGCTCCGCCTCCCGGGTTCACGCCATTTTCCTGCCTCAGCCTCCGGAGTAGCTGAGACCACAGGCGCCCGCCACCACGCCCGGCTAATTTTTTTGTATTTTTAGTAGAGACGGGGTTTCACCGTGTTAGCCAGGATGGTCTCAATCTCCTGACCTCGTGATCCGCCCGCCTCGGCCTCCCAAAGAATCTCCTTTTAAGATTACATTCTGTTCTCAGCCCCACGCAAACTTCTACAGACCTTCAGGTAACTCACTGTATCAATACTACAAGGTATCTCTCATGTATTGTTTTGGAGGGGGTGTGGATTTGAAGTGGGGCTCACAATAATTTCAGAATTCCATCCCAGGTCCTGTAAAAACAAAACAGAAGGGTAGTGACAGTCATGGAGGGGGAAGAGTAGGGTGTGTATAGAATGAGAAATGTTAACAAACTTGGAGGATTTTCTGTCCTGCAATTTCCAACCCCTTTGCATCACTTAGACCTCTCACATTTTGTGAAACTTTCTCTAGGGTTCCAAATGGGAAATAGGAAAGTAATCCTCTTTGCTATTTTAATCCATAAGCCTATGATGATTAAGATATTTTTAATACCGAAGACTTCCAAATGCTGAGACTCAAGCCTCAAAATGGATTAATGTCCTTTCAGAAAAGTTTCTTATATAGTTATTTTATTCACTTCTCTGCGCTATTGTATCAGTTACATATTGTGACCATTATGTTGCATTACAATCGCACAACCTGATTGACATTAGTATTAGCTCAGGAATTTGAGTGCTTTACCTGATATAAGCTAGGTTGGCTATGAGTATCTGCTTGTTGGGTGTTGGTTAGATTTGTGTTGATCTATGATAGTTTTGGTGAAGAAATCTAATGCCTCATTACTCTGGCCCATATATTTCTAATACTTTTACCCTGGACTAGCCTAGGCATGTCCTCCTCATGTTGATAGCAGAGGAAAAGTGCAGTACCTGAAATACTAAAGTATTCTTCTTTGTCTCTTTGTCATGCTTGCTAACATTTCAAGGTGAATGTGATATAACAATGAAATACTCTTTACCCATAAAATAATGTCTTTTGCAGCAACATAGATGGAGTACGATTTACCCATAAAAATTATAAAATTATGTCTTTTGTAGTAACGTGGATGGAATTGATGACCACTGTCTTAGAGAAACAACTCAGAAACACAAAGCCAAATACTGTATGTTCTCATTTATAAGCGGGAGTTAAGTAATATGTACGCATGGTCATAGCATGTGGAATAATAGACACCGGAGATTCAGAATGTTGACAGCGTTGGAGGGGTGTGAGGGAGAAAAAATTACTTAATGGGTACTATGCACATTATTTGGGTGATGGTTACACTAAAAGCCCAGACTTCACCACTATGCAATATATCCATGTAATTGAACTGCACTTATACCCTTACATTTATAAGAAAAAAAAGTTAATCAAGTGACTGAGCTCAGAATCAAGGGGCAGTGCAGAAAGCCTTGCCCGTTATAGACCGCACTGTAAGGGTACACTTGAAAGTGTATAGATAAGGAAAGAGCAAAGGGTAATAGCCGGTAGTGCCATCAACTTAGCAAAACCTTTATCTTTTGGGATAGAAATATGTCCATAATTCTTGAATCTTTTATCCATAATTATTCATTTTATAGCACTATGCCCAAAGACTTTTATGCTGTATTTTTTCAAATAAAGGGAAGTCATTAAGTGTGGAGAGAGACCATATTTTTCTTTCTATTTTTAATGAAAATGTTCTTATCAGCTTGATGATAGTGAAGTGACTTATTTTGGGGGAAAATGTGTCTATTTTCTCATCCACCCGTAAACAAATGTAATGCATTCCATGGCAAAAGATTCAAAGTGGTCTTCATGATTCTACTCTTCTTTCTCTACATTCTCCACATAGCAGTGAAAATTCTTTTAAAAACACAATTCATTTTTTTTTTGTCATTTGGTCTCAATACTCTAGCACCTTAAATATTAAATACAATTTAAAATTCTTACCATAATTCACATGAGGCCTTCCGGGATTCCATCTGTATGTGTTTCCTCAGCTTCGTTTTCTATCAAGTTCCTCTGTTATTAAACTTTTATTTCTATAATCATACCGATCTGATGTAATACAACTATATCAATGCTATTTTGGCTTTCTCAACTTTTTTTCTTCCTAGGTAATTATTCCCCAAATATTCACATAATTGTCTCTCCACTTATTCAGGTCTCTGTCTTAATAGGAATTAATTGAAAATACCCCTCCTAAGTACCATATAAATAGACTTCAATGATTCTCTATCTCATTACCATGCTTTGATTTATTTAGAGTACTTACCGCTGTAATTAAATTCATTTCATAGTCTATTTATTATCCATATTCTCCTCTAGTCAGTAAACTCTGTTAGAAAAAAATAGCTTGTCTTTCTTGTTTAAAACTATTTTTTTCTAGTACCTATAACGGTGGCATATACATATGTTTACTAAAGTATGTCTTCGATGAATAAATAAATTAATCGAACACAAAGGGCAATGAACCTTTTGTTTTATAGTTAAAAATACCTTGCTACAATTTTTTTTATGCTTTGATGGTAAGTTTGAAGGATTAGGGAAACAGAACTAATCAGGAGGTATATGCAGAGAGCAAGGAAAAAAAAAGAACACCATTGTGTATTTAATACATGACATTTGAAATAATTCTATTAGGTAGGTATTTGCCCTGCTTTTGGAAGAGGAAACTGTAGTATAAGAAGATTGAATGACAGGCCAGACACGGTGGCTCATGCCTGTAATCCCAGCACTTTGGGAGGCCAAGGCGGGCGGATCACAAGGTCAGGAGATTGAGACCATCTTGGCTAACATGGTGAAACCCCGTCTCTACTAAAAATACAAAAAAAAAAATTAGCCGGGCGTGGTGGCGGGCGCCTGTAGTCCCAGCTACTCAGGAGGCTGAGGCAGGAGAATGGCATGAACCCGGGAGGCAGAGCTTGCAGTGAGCCGAGATAGCGCCACTGCACTCCAGCCTGGGCGACAGAGTAAGACTCCATCCCCCACCGCCCCCCCGCCCCAAAAAAGAAGGTTGAATGAATGACATGACTAACTTATCGAAATGTAATTTTTTTGATGATATACAAAACCAGTGGTGGCTCAGGCCTGTAATCCCAGCACTTCGGGAGGCTGAGGTGGGTGGATCACTTGAGGTCAGGAGTTCGAGACCAGCCTGGCCAATATGGTGAAACCCTGTCTCTACTAAAAACACAAAAAATTTAGCTGGGTGTGGTAGCTGGCACCTGTAATCCCAGCTACTGAGGAGGCTGAGGTAGGAGAATCGCTGGAACCTGGGAGATGGAGGTGGTAGTGAGCTGAGATCCTGCCACTGAACTCCAGCTGGGGCGACAGAGTGAAACTCCATCTCAAAAAAACACGAAATACAAAACCAGTTTCTGTGATTTTTTTATTTCTATTTGGCTAGAAATATCCCCAGTTGTGTTGCTCAGATCCTTTTAGTAAGCTTATATGTACTTATAATACAGGGATACAAAAATACATAGATAGATACATCATAGAAAGATAGGCAGATAAATGATACGTGGATAGATACTAATAGATAAACTAAAAGTCTACCAAAGACATTTTTATGCAATTTTCAATATTACTCAACATAGTTTGTGTTGAATTTTCAACTATTTAGACTGGGTATACAGTTCACTACTCATATTTTATTCATGCCAAAATTATTTAATTCTCCTTAAAAGGTACACATATGTGAAAACCTAAGATAATGATGTGAAGTATCTCATATTTAAGTGATATAGACAGATCACATTCTTTTCTTCTATTTTGTTTATCTACTGATTGACATGATGCATATTTACAGCATTCCTAGAAAAAGTGTAAATAAATATTTAAATATTTACAGTCTAACAAAGAGTTGAAAATGTCAATAATAAGCAAAGACAAGAAAAGTTTAGATAATTATTTAGAAGAATGGAGAGTGTTACAAAAAATATATTTTGTGAGGATAATTTTTTGCAACATTTATTTTAGTGTTGAGGGAATTCATTTCAATGGAATTGCTTTATGTACTTTATCCATAAGTGATGACTTAGAAACTTGAACTTTTCCTAGCTTTCTTTCTAGCTCTTAAGTCAAATGCCTACTATTTATAACTCTTGATATCCTGCTTGTGATAGAATCAAATGTGCAACCTACAGATATATAGAAAGCAGAATTTGTAAGCAATAAATTTGGATATTTACTGGAGGAAATTTTCAAGCAAGTGTTGAAGATGCAGCTCATTTTTTTCTTGGTACTTACAGTAAAGGGACAGAGGAAAGAGGTAAATGGAGGAAGAAATTTTAAGCAAGACAGCTAGAACTGGAAGTGCATATATATAAATATGTATTTATTACATTATGCTATATGTGCATAACTACATAGAGACACAAGCATTCATACACATACACATGTATACACATAAATACATATATGTGTATAATTACACATATGTGTATATGTAATTATACATACATAATATACATAATTGCATACACATACATGGGCATATGTAATTATGCATATAATATACATAGTTACATATGCATACTTGTGTTTATGTGATTATACATACATAATTACATACACATGTATATGTGATTATACATACATAATTACATACACATGTATATGTAATTATACTCATGTATTTATGTGTATACATGTGTATGTGTATGAATGCTTGTGTCTCTGTAGTTATGCATATATAGAATAATAAAATACATATTTTATATTATGTTACATTTATGTGACTTATATAATATATAATTACCTAAGTATTTTTGGCAGGGCATCTACTTACCTAAATTTAAACTATAGATGTTGTTCTTATGGACTTTAAGAGTCTAATTGAATCTATAGGAGAGGGCCACTTGACTTATATGTGGATGTATTTCCACGCAGCCCCAGTTCAGTGAATACTCATAGGAATACAGCACTGTTTAGTTTTTGGGTCTTACTACTTTGAGAGTATTGGGTGTAGAACACTTTAGGAAGAGAAAGATTCCTCTAACAAAAGGCAGCACATGTAGAAACAACATGAAAAGGCATAATCAATATGCAATTGTAAGGTCTGTGTGAAACAATGTTGTAGGATTTGTACATGAGCAAATATAGGCAATTCCAGAGATGCTAAGAAATAAGGCACGGAGCTGTGAGTAGGATTACAAAAATAGCATTTCAGCAGTGAAGAGGGTGAGGTTAGCATCAGGTGAGCAAGTGACTATGAAAAATGTCACGGACTCATTTGTCCCCACAGGACTTGACCCTCGAAGATGAGTTAATGAAAACAGAGAGAGAGAATGTGTGTCTTACTTCCCTCTCAAGAGTGCCACATACAAAGGCTTAGAATTTTGCCTAAATATTTACTGATCTCAGAAATACTCATTTCTGATATTAGTAATTTGCATTAAAATGCTATGCATAATTAGGAAACGTTTCTTTAAAATTTAATTTTAAAAATCAGCTAATCGGTGGAAAAGATGCTTTGAGAGAAGGATCAAAGAATGGATCCCTGTACCCTTGCAACCCACTCACATTCTTCAAGCATAACAATATGAGGAAAAACTATACATCTTTTATGACCTTATGTCTCTCAGTAATTGTCATATTTCTGGTTTGTAATGACTTAGATTTGAATATGGCCATTAAACATTTTGATTTATTGGATTTACTTTCCTGGATAGAAGAAAATATTCCCTAATACCTTGAAAATTTTGAATACTTAAATTGAAAAACTTATTCAACTATGATGGTTGCCTGAAATTTACAATGTATAAATGCAGTCAGAAACTAGTTTGACTTTTAAAACAGACTTTACTAGTTGGGGAAACAGCCTGAATGTCAGGAAATGACTTAATTAGAAGTGTAGAAGATAGCGATGTCAATAAGTTCTGAAAAGCAAAGTTTGTTACAGGTAATCCATAATGGAGTAATCCCAGGAGGTAATCAAGAACTGACTATAAGTTGAAAATACATTGGTTACGTGGCAACGCACTTGAAGAAAAATCTTTAAGGTGGAAAAAACAAGTACCCAATTAAATGGGAGGGTAAGCAAGCACCTGGTCCTAAAATGCACTCAATTAAATTGAATAATGACAGTATATTTCAGTGCAACTGTGTTTTTAAAATATAATAGCAGTTAAAATATTTGTCTAGCAATTACTACTTTTTTTCAAAATACTCCCATACTTACCATATTAAAATCACTCAACATTAACCAAGGCTACAAAGTTACTCATTCATAACAATACATAATGTATGTTTATACAACCTATACAAAGTAGTTACTAAAATGAAAATAAAGATGAATACGAATATAATCTTAGTTACTTTTATTATGTATATATCATATCACTGCTTATTATATCTATTATTATATTATTACTAGAGTATATCTTCAATGAGGGCATAAGATTTGTCAAACGTATCAAAAACTATAGCCTTGTGGTGCCTTGAAAAGAACATTGTATATATTAGATGCTAAAATCCTAAATTCCATATAAAGAAATAAATGAGTGTATGATGTAATACATGGTAGAAGGCCACTAGTAATACAAGTTATTTCTTTTTTTTTTTTTTTTTTTGAGACGGAGTTTCGCTCTGTCGCCCAGGCTGGAGTGCAGTGGCTTGATCTCGACTCACTGCAAGCTCCGCCTCCCGGGTTCACGCCATTCTCCTGCCTCAGCCTCCTGTGTAGCTGGGACTACAGGCACGCGCCACCATGCCCGGCTAATTTTTGTATTTTTAGTAGAGACGGGGTTTCACCGTGTTAGCCAGGATGGTCTCGATCTCCTGACCTCGTGATCCGCCCGTCTCGGCCTCCCAAAGTGCTGGGATTACAGGCGTGAGCCACCGCGCCCGGCCACAAGTTATTTCTGAGGTAAAAAACTATTTAACTTTTTTACTTACAAGGAAAAACAATTCCATAGTTTCCTGCTTAGCAAGTAAAGCTTGTGTACGTAGAGAGAAAAAACAAGTTTGTGAAAAGATCTTACAATGTTCTGACTTTTGACTGTTCTATTTTTATAGTTAATAAACACTGTTTGAGATTTAAAGAGAAACTATTTCATTGCTCTCACTGTCTTGAGAACCGTCTATAAGTTTCTATTTTATTTTGAGTTTCAAGTGACATTTTGCAAAAGTTCTTCTTTATCTGCTTAAACCTTACAGAAAAAAAAAATCATTGATTTGCCTTCCATGTGCACCTACTGCAAACTTAAATGACACCTACTAGTCACTGAGGCCTTCTTAGGACTTTGGTATATCTCTGTTCACGAGGAATGTACTTTTAAGATGGAAATAAATATGATTTCCCACAGTTGTAGTCATTCAAAGACAGAAAGCTGCATGTTTCTCTCAAATCAGTGAAAAATGTAGTGATAATCCCCGACAAAGAAGATTTTTCTTTCTTTTTTTTTTAAATTTTACTTTAAGCTCTGGGATACATGTGCAGAACATGCAGATTTGTTACATAGGTATACATGTGCCATGGTGGTTTGCTGCACCCATCAACCCCTCATCTAGGTTTTAAGCCCCACATGCATTAGGTATTTGTCCTAATGCTCTCCCTCTCCTTGCCCCCACCCCCCGGACAGGCCCCAGTGTGTGATGTTCCCCTCCCTGTGTCCATGTGTTCTCATCGTTCAACTCCCACTTATGAGTGAGAACATGAAGTTTTTGGTTTTCTGTGCCTGTGTTTGCTGAGAATGATGTTTGCTGAGTTTGCTGAGAATGATGGCTTCCAGCTTCATCCACGTCCCTGCAAAGGACATGAACTCATCCTTTTAATGGCTACATAATATTCCATGGTGTATATGTGCCACGTTTTCTTTATCCAGTAAATCATTGAGTGAAGCTGGGTTTTGTGTAAGCTTTTCTACATTTAATTACCGTCTATCATATGCTATTTATGTAAGCACTGTTAGAGGCTGTCACCACTGTGTTAGAAAATGCTTCTCCCTTAAAGTGGTCAATGGTTGTTCATCACAGTATTTTTGGAATACCTTTAAACACAAATTATGTCTTCACTCCTGTCGAAAAATTTAGTCTATTGACTTCTTTTTATTGAATTCCTTCTTACTTTCTTTGTACCATTTCCCCGACTGCTCCACAAGTACAAAGGAAGGTTGTAACCTCTGTCTGTCTGTCTGGCTTTCAGTTTCTTTCTCTATCTAGTATATAATAAATTCTTAATAATGTATTTACTGCACACATACAGAGTTAGAACAAAACCTTTAAGGTAAAGTTGGCTATTCTGAAGTGTTATTTTATTATGGGAAGGAACACATAAATATACATTTTGAGGCAAAAATGTTCTCCTTTTTTTCAGTGACATTTAGGAGAAAAACAAAAATGGCATTCACATATTGTAGTTGTAGTTCATAAAAAATAATACTATTGTTACAGCATTTTAATTGTCAGATAATCTTTAAAATATTTTATTGAGTTGGGAGTATAATTTCGAATTAATAAAGCTTCCTAGTAATAGATATTAAACTTAAATCAACTTTTAAAAAACATGAAGTAAAACACAAAACAAAAACTTAACTCATAAATTTAAATCAAAGTGGCTTTATTCACTGCACAGGAAAGGAAGCAATCAATGGAGTGAAAAGACAACCTACGAAATAGCGTAAAATATTTGCCAACCATATTTCTAATAAGGAATTAATTTCCAAAGTATATAAGGAACTCCTACAATGCAATGGTAAATAAGTCAGTAATCTGTTTTAAAAATACGGAAAAGTTTGAACAGACATGTCTCCAGAGAAGACATACAAATGACCAATAAGTATATTTAAAAATGTTCAACCTCACTATTCATCAGGGAAATGCAAATAAAAAGCACAATGACATAGCATCTTAGACATGTCAGGAAGGCTATTATGTAAAAAAAAAAAAAAAAGCACAGCAAATATTTTTAAGGATATAGAGAAACTAGAACCCATGCACACTGTTGGTGAGAAGGCAACATGGTACAGAAGCTATATAAAACAATATGGATATTCCACATAACTGTAAAATAGAACTATTATATAATCCAGCAATCCCACTTTTGAATTTTATTTTTATTTTTTTTATTATTATACTTTAAGTTTTAGGGTACATGTGCACATTGTGCAGGTTAGTTACATATGTATACATGTGCCATGCTGGTGCGCTGCACCCACTAACTCCTCATCTAGCATTAGGTATATCTCCCGATGCTATCCCTCCCCCGTCCCCCCACCCCACAACAGTCACCAGAGTGTGATGTTCCCCTTCTTGTGTCCATGTGATCTCATTGTTCAATTCCCACCTATGAGTGAGAATATGCGGTGTTTGGTTTTTTGTTCTTGCGATAGTTTACCGAGAATGATGATTTCCAATTTCATCCATGTCCCTACAAAGGACATGAACTCATCATTTTTTATGGCTGCATAGTATGCCATGGTGTATATGTGCCACATTTTCTTAATCTAGTCTATCATTGTTGGACATTTGGGTTGGTTCCAAGTCTTTGCTATTGTGAATAATGCCGCAATAAACATACGTGTGCATGTGTCTTTATAGCAGTATGATTTATAGTCCTTTGGGTATATACTGAATATTTATCTAAAAGAATTAAAATCAAGATCTCAGAGAGATATGTGTACTTCTATATTTATTGCAGTATTATTCACCATAGCCAAGATATAGAAACACCCCAAATGTCCATTGACAGATGAGTAGATAAAGAAAATGCAGCATATGTATGCAAAAGAATATTATTCAGTCAAAGAAAGAAAATATTCTGCATAGACAACAAATGGATGAACCTGAAAACCTATAAGTGAAATAAGTTCACTACAAAAAGACAAATATATTGTGATTTCACTTATATGTGTTATCTAAATTAATCAAATTGAGAGTAGATTGGTGTTTACTAGGGGCTGGGGGAAAAAACATGGGGAGTACCAATCGACAGTTGTGAAGTTTTAGTCAAGCAAGATGAACAAGCTCTAGAGATCTGCTGAAAAACATCATACCTACACTCAGCAATATTATTCTGTACACTTGTAAGTAATTAGGAGGACAGTGCTCATCTTAAGCTTGTAGTAATCTACAATAAAATAAAAGAAATGGATTAATCCAAAACAGAATTAAAATCAAATAGTCTTACTATGGTCTGAATGTTTGCATCACCCCAAAATTCCTACCTTGAAACCTAATTCCCAGTGTGATAGTATTAAAAGGTGGGAGCTTTGGGAGTTGATTATATCATGAGGGTGAATCCCTTATGGATGATATCAGTGATCTAATAAAAGAGGCCCAAGCAAGCTTGTGTGCCCTTTTCATTATGTAAAAACACAACAAAATCTCGGTCATTGAAGAATTAATACTCACCAGCACCTTGACCTTGAACTTCCCAGATTTCAGAACTTTGAGAAATAAGTTGCTGTCATTTATAAGCTACCAACTTGTGGTAGTTCGTTCAAGCAGTGTGAACAAAGAAAGTATCATCAAATATTTACCCTTCAGCCAAACTCACACAAGTCTATATGCACATGCACGCACATAACTGCACACATATTCTCATACCCTTACACTTCTCTCTTCATAAGGTCTGATTTGTTCTATACTAACCTGTTAGGCAGTTTGTTCTAAATTTTAAAACTGATATTTGTCGCTTCATTCAGACAACGTCTTTAGCATTCTTAATCAGTGAAAGCTTTCTGGCTTTGCTTAGTCACTTACTAATCCCCATCGCCACACAATCACGTATCCAAGGAGATGGAATTGACACAGATAGGCCAACGTGGGTCTTATATGCATCTTTACGACATGAAAGGCAGGATCATAGGACTTGCGGCTTCACCCTAATTATATGGAGCAAAGGAGAAGCAGTTTCTCAAAGGATACAGGGAAGCCAATGCAGTTAGCCCTCCATAGGTTCCATGAATCCATGGATTCAACCACAAAACCCACAGGGATAGAAAATGTTCAGGGAAAAAAAAGAGATAGGTGGTTGCGTCTGTACTGAACATGTATAGACATTTTGTTCTTGTCCTTAATCCCTAAATAATACCATTTATCAACTATTTACATCGAATTTATATCTCATTAAGTATTATAAGTGGCCCAGAGATTATTTAAAGTGTATGAGAGGATCTGCATAGGTTATATGCAAATATGATATCATTTTATATAAAGGACTTGAGCATCTGTGAATTTTGGTATCCATGGGGAATCCTGGAAACAATCTTCCATGGATATCAAGGGACAACTGTATAGAGACAATATGTACTTAATGTATTCATTATCTGTTTCGTGTATTAGATAAAACTCATAAATTCATAAATTTTAATTTACTCAATGATTATAGGAACAGCTTACTCCACAGTAGGTTTGATGTAGTCACCACTGCTCTTATTAAAAAAGTTATTGTACATTCTCTAAAGGATTTAACCGTCTAGCACTAAGAGAACAATCCTATATTTTTTAAACTCTAGAATCCCAGGGGATTGCAATATATAAATGATTGCAATATATTTGGCCATTCAGTTGAGCTCACATTAAAACTGAGGGGTTAAAGCTCACGTAAATCACATGGAGTAGTTTCTGAATGGCTTGTTAAAATCACTGGTATCTGTCAACTCACATTCATTTTACTATTTCCAAATCACTTCTAAAAGACAATTATTCAATCATTCAACTTAAGGATACAATCATTGTTAATATACAACACTTCTCTGAAAATACTGCAAAATATCATACAACTGACAGTGATCACACACTCCAAAAGTAAATGTATCACACAATACATTTTTGTTAAATATTGTTAAGTCTAAGAAGATTTTGCAGCTAAAAAACAAAGCTAGTCAAATTGAAGAGAGTAACTCAGTGTTGCTTAAAATTTGGACCATTTGCTATGCACTGTGTCTGAGAAAAAAAGGCAGGTGATTTAATTAAGAATTTGAACTTTTTGAGCTTGACATTTATCTCCTTGGCGCATAATTTTTTGAAGCAGTAACCCATGCAATATAATACAAGGATGCTAAACTACACAAACTTACATACACACAAGATACCAACTAAGAGCCGAATTCAATTATGGATAAATTATCAAAAAGAGTTTCACCGTAGATAAAACCTATTATCTTTACACTAAATATGCAAATAATGTAATACACTCACTAAAAAAAAGAATAAAGGCTAATAGACAAAATGTCTGTCACAAAATGTCATGCATTTCCATATTCTTATCAAATTGCCTTGATTTCATTCTTAAGAGTAATAATACTATTCATTTTTATACCTATTAACCACCATGACAGAGAAAAGTAAAGTAAAATAAAAGGTTGAAGTCACACACATGACCTTGGCTGTTTCTACCCAACATTCTTCTTAACCCACAAATTTTTGCAGAAATGGTATGGGAAAACTGCCTACTCAAGCCTCAGTAATGGCAGACACCCCTTCCCCCACCAAGCTTGATCGTCCCAGGTCAACTTCAGACGGCTGTGCTGGCAACGAGAATGTCCAGCCAGTGGTTCTTAGCTTGCTGGGCTCTGTGGGAGTGGGACCCACTGAGTGAGACCACTTGGCTCCCTGGCTTCATCCCCCTTTCCACAGGAGTAAATGGTTCTCTCTTGCTGGAGTTCCAGGCACCACTGAAGTATGAAAAGGGAAAACCTCATGCAGCTAGCTTGGTGTCTGCCCAAACAACTGCCCAGTTTTGTGCTTGAAATCCAGGGCCCTGGTGGTGTAGGAACACAAGGGAATCTCCTGGTCTGCAGATTGCAAAAACCATGGGAAAAATATAGTATCTCCGCTGGATAGCACGGTCCCTCACAGCTTCCCTTGGCTGGGGGAGGGAGGTCCCCGGCTCCTTGCACGTTTGGGTGAGGCAGAGCCCCACCCTGTTTCTGCTTGCCCACCGTAGACTGCACCCGCTACGTAACGAGTCCCAATGAGATGAACTGGGTACCTCAGTTGGAAATGCAGAAATCACCAGCCTTTTGTGTTGGTCTCACTGGCAACTGCAGACAAGAGCTGTTCCTATTTGGCCATCTTGCCTAACACTGACTTCTATGTCTTTCTTTTGCACAGTTATATTAGTCTGTTCACACATTGCTATAAATAACTACCCAAGGCTGGATAATTTATTTTTTTAAAAAAAGAAGTTTAATTGACACAGTTTTGCAAGTTGTACAGGAAACATGGCTGGGGAGACCTCAGGAAACTTATTTACAATCATGGCAGAAGGTGAAGGGGAAGGAGGTACATCTTACGGGAGGAAGAGAAAGGGGCAGGAGGTCCTACACACTTTTAAACAACCTGATCTCATGATAACTTACTTACTATCACAAGAACAGCATCAAAGGGGAAATCCACCTTCATGATCCAATTGCCTCCCACCAGGCCCCAACTCTAACATTGGGGCTTACGATGTAATGTGTAATTTGGGAGGTGACACAAATCCAAATCATATCATTCCACCACTGACCCCTCCCAAATCTCATGTCCTTCTCACGTTACAAAATGTAATCATCCCTTCTCAACAGTCCCGCACATCTTAACTCATTTCAGCATTAATTTAAAAGTTCACAGTCCAAAGTCTCATCCAAGACAAGGCAAGTTCCTTCCACCCATGAGCCTCTAAAATAAAAAGCAAGTTAGTTACTTCAAAGATACAATGGGGGTAAAAGCATTGGGTAAATACACCCATTTCAAAAGGGAGAAATCAGCCAAAACAAAGGGGCTACAGGCCCCACGAAAGTCCAACCCCCAGCAAGGCAGTCATTAAATCCTAAAGCTCCAAAATAATCTTTGACCCCATGTGTCATCACATCCAGGCCACACTAATGCAAGGGGTGGGCTCCCAAAGCCTTGGGTAGCTGTACCCCTGTGGCTCTGTGGGACTCAGATCCCATGGTGGCTTTCAAGGGCTGATGTTGAGTGTCTGTAGCTTTTCCAAGCACATAGTGCAAGCTGCCAGTGCATCTATAATTCCAGGGTCTGAAGGACAGTGGCTCTCTTTTCACAACTCCACACAGTGTCCCAGTGGGGACTCTGTGTAGGGGCTCCAAGCCCACATTTTCTTTCTGCACTGCCCTTGCAGGGGTTTTCTGTGAGAGCTCTGGCTCTGTACCAGACTTCTGCCTGGACGTCTAGGCATATTCACACATCCTCTGAAATCTAGGCAGAGTCTCCCAAGCCTCAACTCTCGCCCTCTGTGTATCCTCAAGCTTAACACCACGTAAAAGTCTACCAAGGTTTATGTTTGGCAACAAATGGAGCAGCAGCCTGACATTTATCTGGGGTACTTTTATCCATGGCTGTAGCTAGAGTGGTTGGGACATAAGGAGCAGTTTCCTAAGGTTGCACAGGGCAGTGTGTCTCTGGGCCCAGCCCACAAAATGATTCTTCCCACTTAGGCCTCCAGGTCTGTGATAGTAGAGGCTTCCCTGAAGGTCTCTGAAATGCCTTTGAGGCATTTTCCCCATTTTCTTGGTAATTAACATTTGGCTCCTCTTTACTTATGCAAATTTCTCAGGCAAGCTTGAATTCCTCCCCAGAATATAGGTTTTTATTTTCTAGCAAATGGTCATGCTGTTAATTTGCCAAACTTTTAGACTCTGCTTATTTATTAAATATAAGTTCCAGTTTCAGATCATCTCTTTGCTCATGGATATGAGCATATGCTGTTAGAAGAAGCCAAGACACTTTTTGAATGCTTTGCTGCTTAAAAATTTATTCTGCCAGATACCCTAAACCATCTCTCTCAAGTTCACAGATCCCTAGAGCAGGGCACTATGTCACCAGTCTCTTTGCTAATATATAACAAAAGTGATCTTTACTCTAATTCCCAGTAAGTTCTTCATCTCCATCTGAGACCAAGTTAGCTTGGAATTCATCATCCATAGCACTATCAACATTTTGGTCACAACAATTTAAGAAGTCTCTAGGAAGTTCCAGACTTTCGCTCATCCTCCTGTCTTCTTCTGAGCCCTCCAAACTGTTCCAACTACTGCTTGTTACCTAGTTCCAAAGCTACTACCACATTTTCTGGTATCGCTATAGCAATGCCTCACTTCCCAGTACAAATTTTCTATATTAGTTTATTCTTGCATTGCTATAAAGGACTACCTGAGGCTTGGTCATGTATATATTTAGAAAAAGAAGTTCAATTGGGTGACAATTCCACAGACCGTACAGGAAGCATGGCTAAGGAGACCTCAGAAGATTTAGTCATGGTAAAAGGTGAAGGGGAAGCAGGCACATCCTACATGGCTGAAGTAGGAGGAAGAGAGTGAAGGTTGTGGGAGGAGGTGTAGCTACATACTTTAAAGAAAGAGATCTTGTGAGAACTCACTCACTATCATGAGAATAGCAAAGGGGAAATTCTCCCCCAAGATCCATTTTCCTAAGACCAGGCCCCTCCTTCAACACTGGGGATTACAATTCAACATGAGATTTGGGTGGGGACATAAATTCAAACCATTTCAACATTTACAGACCCTCAAGATTATACTGAGCCCACCCAAATAGTACAGGATAATCTCTATATTTTGAGATCATCTGATTAGTAATGTCAATCTCATTTTAATTTTCCTTTTGTTATGTAATACAAAAAATTTACAAATTACCAAGAATAGCAAACTGACATTTTTGGTATTATTCCACCTACCACACATAACATGTTTACTACTGAATCATCTTTAAGCCACATTTGTCAATGCTGTTTTCTCAGAAAGCCCAGACTATGACTAAAGGTGAAAATATTCATGGAGAATTACCTTTCAATGAAATCAGCATACAGATGCTTTATAAAGCAACAAGAGAAAATGAGATCAATTAGGGAGTCATCGTATATGGAATTACTGATGAGACACTTGACTATTAGGATTCACAGAGATAAAGAGTAAAGAGACTAGTGTGAGGGAAGAGTATGGGCTGTAAATATTAAGGTTAAGCAAGAGAATGTTGTCTCTTGGAAACAAAATGGTGAAAGGGAGAGAGAAGAAAAACCTCAAGGTTTGCAGATGCTGTCAATAGGTCAGTGAATTTTAGACTGATAAACAACCATCACATGTAGTAGCTGTATTAGTCCATTTTGTGTTGCTATAAAGGAATACATGAAGCTGGGAAATTCATAGCCAAACGGGTTTATTTGGCTCATGATTCTGCAGGCTGTATAACCATGGCACAAGCATGTCTTCAGCTTCAGGTGAGGCCTCAGGAAGCTTTTACTCATGACACAATATGAAGGGGAGCAGGCATGATACATGGTGGGAGAGGAAGCAAGAGAGAGAAGAGGGAGGTCTCCAGACTTTTTAACAACCAGATCTCATGGGAACTCATTACAATGGTGGGACCAATTACAATGGTAAGACCAAGCCACTCATGAGGGATCTGCTCTCATGACACAAAAACCACCCACTAGGCCCACGTCCAACATTGGTGAACCCATTTCAACATTTGGAGGGTAAGAACATACAAACTATATCAGTCACATAAAAGTTATATACTATTTAATGTACAACATTGATATAGGCTACAGCTTAAGTAGTCCATTTGGTTTATCTCATCCTACTAAGTCTATATAATGCTATCCCCATTAGCTTTGACTTTTATTTCTATAACAAATAACACATTAAAATGTTCAGTTAAACAAGATCTATATCACATTTTACATTTGTATTGTAATCAAACTTTTTTGATCACATTTCACTACGTACAGATAACATAACCATGGGAAGCTATTATATAATAAAACACAAAAGTAATTAAGAATCATAAATAAGCATTTTTAGAAAATAAATAACAACTCATATTTCCTAGAATTTAACACTATGATGACTGCAGAATGGCAAGAATATATAATAGATAGCTCACAATGAAAAACTTCACCTAGGTTTACATTTTATGTTTATTTGTACAAATTCAGACAAAATATTTTTAGGAAAATTGCGGGGGGTGCGGGTTACTGTTTATATTCTGTTACCTCAGAAAGGTTTGAAATTTTTAAAAAATGCTATTATTCATTTAGTGGTTAATTAACCATACAGAACCTTTAACTTGTACTATAATTATTAAATCTTGTGATGGAGTAATTGCTGTGGTTTATTGAACACGAAGGTAGTTAAACGTCACAAAATTATTCTTGCATATATTTGCTTACAAATAAATGTTTTCATGCCTCCAAACATAGTGTGTATATATATATATATATATATGACCCCTAAAACATATCCATTTGTCATTTTCAGAAACTATTCTTGCCATTTACACATATAATTTTGAAGCCAAAAAAGGAATTTTAGAGTCTTCAGTGAGTATTAAAATGTGATTTTTTTTCTTTAACGTGTTATTTTAAAGGAATTTCTAAAATTATTTCAAAAGATCACCAGGGAGCATTTGTGTTGAATATTGTTCTTTTATTTCTGTTAAGAACCCAAGCATAATAAACAGAAAAAAAGGAGCTCTCTTTGACTTCAAAATACTTTTCTCTACAGATCTTGATTTAAAGAACTAGTCCTAGGTAAAAATAATAATGAGTTGGACATTGGCTATTGGAGAATAGAATGAAAAATAATGTTCATAACTAGAATAGATTATTATTTTGAGAAAATAGAGCTGCAGATGTTTGAAATTTTAGAAACAACATTTCTCAAGAGAGTAAGACAAGCCACAATCTGGGAAAAAAAAATATTTGAAAAAGACACATCTGTTAAAGGACTGCTATTCAAAATATACAAAAGAAAAACCCTCTTAACAATAAAAAAAGACGAGACTAATTAATAAATGAGCAAACACTCTGAACAGTCACCTCACCAAACAAGACATACAGATCACAAGTAAACATATGAAACTATGCTTAACATAATATGGCATTAGGGAATTTCAAATTAAAGAAAAACAAACAAACAAGATACCACTACACATCTATTAGAATGACTAAAATCCAAAACACTGAAAACACTAATTGCTGATCGGGATGTGAAGCAACAAGAACTCTCAATTATTGATGGTGGGTATACAAAATGATACGGCTACCTTTGAAGACATTTTGAAAGTGTCTTGTAAAACTAAACGTGTTCTAACCATATGATCCACCAATCATGCTCCTTGGTATTTACAAAAATGAATTGAAAACTTATCTCTACACAAAATCTGCATATAAATGTTTATAGCAGCTTTATTCACAATTGCCAAAACTTGGAAGCAATCAGGATGTCCTTCAGCAGGTGAATAGATAAAGAAATCCTGGTACCTCCAGGCAATGGAGTATTATTCAGTGCCAAAAGAAATGAGCTGTCAAAATATCAAATGGCATGGAGAAAATTTTAATGCATTTAATTAAGTGAATGGAATCAATCTAAAAAGGCTACATACTATATGACTCCAACTATAAGGCATTCGAGAAAAGGTGAAACTATGAAGACATTAAAAAACTACCATGGGTTAGGGTAAAGGGAGGGATAAATAGGCAGAGAACAGGATTTTTAGGGAAGAGAAACTGTTCTGTGTGATGAAACAATGATGGAAACATGTTAATATACATTTGTCAAAATGAATAGAATGTACAAAACTAAGAGTGACTCCTAATACAAACTATAAACTGTATGTAAAAATAATGTGCCAACATTGATTTCTTGATTGTGATAAATTTACTATGGTGGTATAGCATGTTGATAGTCATGTAGGTTGTGTATCTGTGGGGACAAGGTGCATATGGGAACCCTCTGTACTCAATTTTGCTGTGAACCTGAAAGCGCTTCAAGAAAATAAAATTTATTAATTAAAATTCATTTCACTTTTCCCCCTGAATGATATATGTTTACATGTATTAACATGTTTTACTCAAAATATATATATACATAATATGTACCATTATTTAGTAGAAAATTGGAATTTTTATATAAGTTCTCTTCTTTTTTTCTGTATTCGTGTTCCTGGCTCTCTCCATGAAAATTCAGAATTCCAGACAGAAGGCTTTCACCATGCAGATATCTTTATGTAGTTTAGGTAACTTACCCCTGTCTTAACCTTTAGGCCTACTACTGAGTTACTAAACTGTCCTTGCAGTTTCCCTGTACTCTGCTATTATCTTAATCCCCTTTTATTAATGATTCTCAGGTTACTCAGTTTGAGTATGCTGATTTGTGTCAAAACTCTTACAACATTAAGAGAACCCAAATTTATCACGGTTAAGTTGAGTCAAAAAGCCATTTTGGAAAGCATTTGTTTAACTGAATTTTCTCTTACAATGATAGTAGTTGGTGTTGTTCATTACATCATTTATTGTATAAGAATAATGGCACAAAGGTATATTATCATCTTTCAAGTACATTTTAAAATTATGCTACTAGAATTGTTAACAAAATCACTCACTGGTATTTTATGACCAACATGTATTGCTTTGGGTCAGTGCTTCTCATTTTCAAACTGTCTCCTGTTTCCTGAAGTTATTTAGATATAAATTTTCTAGATACAAATATGAGTTGCCTAAGATGATTTATTTCAGACACTATTTTTAATATTTTGCCAGAAATAGCTGGTTAATTTGCATAGCTAAATTGTAATTTATTTTCTATACTCTCAGAATACATCAATAAATATTAGATATATTAGACACCAAGAGCTGTGAAGATGATGGAAATATAGGTACTATTGATGATGAAGGTACATTTGATATTTCTAGAGAATGTAAAGGAAAAAATACAGGATAATAAAAATGTATACAACAAAATTATAGTATGGCAAAATTGAGGTCAATGTGCATCTTTTTTCCAAAAAATTATAATTAAACTAAATAAGATTCTCAAAAACTATCATTTGATGTTTCTGAAAAAGACCTAAGGCATACCCAACATTAAAATGCATTTGCTTATGATTATCTCTTGAACATCTGTAAAACCATTGGGAGTCTGAGGTATTTTCACCTTTTGCTGCTTATATGTCCACCCACTCTCTGATCCATGGTTTATATTTAAGTAGAGCAGGAAAATAGGGATGGCAGCCTTGCATGTAGGGTAGTCTAAGTGGAAGGCGGAGGATGGAAAAATCCCATGCTCAGAAATACTGTAAACAAAACTAGTGATACCCGTGGAAATAATCATGGAAGGCTAACTTTGCAGGTAAGTTAAGATCTCAATACTGGTTGAGAAAAGCAAAAGTTTAGCAGACCTGCCAAAAATTTAACAGGGAGATGTTAGGCAACTAAGAAGACAAGAGAGCCATGATATAGTTCTATCCTTTGTTGGACACCTGTGTGTATGTAAAAGGCTTCACACAAGCTCAGGATACATAACAAAGAAACTTAGTGAGTAGTTCATCCTTTACTGAACACAAGATCTAGTAAATGTAAAAGATGGAAAAAATGATGACACAATCTTGTAAATTGTCTAAGTCTTGAAAGAACTTATCATCCAATACACTTGTATTGGCAAAGGGTTGGTGCCTTTTTGGCTCACAGGATTCAATCACAACATCTGATCACTGGCTGAACCCTAAGCTTTACTAAATAAGTGGCAACACCTGGCAATTTATAATAAAAGTGAAAATAATCTTTAAAAAACCTGACCAGAGACCTTAGTGGCTGCATAATGCAGGGAAACAGACACTGACAATAACAACCTCACTCCTCTGCGTATATCCAAAATGAAGAAAAGCAGAACCTCGAAGAGATATCTGCACTCCCATGTTTATTGTAGCACTATACACAATAGCCAAGGTATGGAATCAACCTTAATGTCTAATGAGGTGATGGAAATCCTCATTACTCTAATTTGATCATTACACATTGAATGCTTGTATCAAAACATCACATGTACCCTATGAATAAATACAACTATTATGTTTCTATGATAATTTAAAATTAAAAAATTAAAAATGTAAATGATACTCAAATGTTATTCTAGAAATGATACTAAATGTTACTATATAAAATATTTAATGAAAAAGAAGATAGTAAAGGAAAACAAAGGCATAAAAAGACATTAAATATAATGAAAAAATATTAAAATGGCAAACATAAATTGAGCCACATCAAGAATAAGACTAAAATTAATTGCATGCATTGATGCCATGTAACCAATCACATAAACTAGATTTTAAATGCAAATCCAGAGAGAGCAGGGTGAGAGTAATACAAATTATTGAGTAGATTGAGAAACATGTACTAAATAACATTCAGACTTCTACAAGGAGAGAGAGCTGCTTACTATATACATTAGGTTCAGTTAGAAAAAAAATGCATATTTATTTTTTTCCACATTAATGATTTGTGGGAAAACAACAGTACATCCAGCAAACAATAAAATTATGCAAAATCAATTTTTCAATAGATTTTGATCTAAAATAATCTGTCTTTATACCAAAATATAATTTTTTTGAGAGAAAGACAGGGTCTTCCTCTCCTATCCAGGTTTAAGTGCAGTGATGTAATCACAGTGTACTGCATTCTGAAACTCCTGAGCTCAAGGGATTCTCCCACCTCAGCCTCCTGAGTAGGTGGGACTACAGCCACATACCTTTGTGGCCAGCCAATGTTTTAATTTTTTTTTTTTTTTTTTTTTTTGAGATGGGGGTTTTCCTCTCTTGCCCAGGCTGGTCTTGAACTTCTGGGCTCAAGCAATCCTCTGCTCTCATCTTCAGAGAAAGTGTTGGGATTACAGGCAAAAGCCGCTGCGCTCCACCAAGATATGGTCCTCGTATACAATGGGAGCAAGCATTTCTAAGAAAGCACCACTAAAATAATGAAAAATTAATACTTGCTACACATTTTTATATTAAAACCAATAATAATCTTGGCATTTCTTTATTGTTTGGTACTAATATAAAACAAGTAGGCTTAGATCCAACAGTTATTTCAGTGATGGTTAACTCTACGTGTTACAATTATTTTAGAAATTATGTGCAGTTAACATTTTTAAAACTGTCTACTTGATATCTTATTGCAAAATCATTACACTATATTTAAAAGTAGAATTAGGTATAGTTTAACATTTATATAGATAGCATTATTTGTACACCTTGAAGCAGTCCTTAAAAAAAGGCATTAGGTATGTCAAGAGAAACACTGCAATATTTATCTCCATTTGAACTATCTTGTATGGCAATATACTTAAATCAATTTACATGAAGTCATGGGAGAGTAAGAACTTTGCAAAAAAGGAAAAACAGAAACACAATAGATTTGATCAAAAGATTTGATCAATAGTATGATCATATTGCTGCTTCATCTCTTGTTGCAGTATGCTTATAGGGAAATATAAACTCAATCTTAAAGAAAAACATTTAAAATCAAAGAACAATGAAGAAGGGAGAAGAAACACTTTTTTCTACTTTTATTTTGATACCATTACAAATTTAGTTTTAGAGCATATTTGATGAAAAGAAAAATGAATCTTTACCATAATTAATAATATATAATTAAATATTTTTTATTCCACTCATGTAACTAAATGAAAAAGAATGCATAAAAACATGACTTCTTAAAGTACATGCAAATGTATATGCATGTTTTATACATAAGCACATTCTATACAAAACATAAGAAAAAGAAAGTGTTATTTTGAGATCTCTCCTTTACTATATATGACTATAACATGTTTTGGTAAATATTTTATTTCATAAAATAGCCATAATCTTATCCATTCACCATATATTCTCTCTTAATACTATGTATGGGTGTTCTTCTGCGAAGTCATTGATAGATCAAATATAACAAATATGACAATATTAAATTATATTTTGGGTTTCATGTTTATTTCCCTTCTATATCTACCAAAAGTAATTTTTAATCCTTTACTTTTTATTTCTCAATACATTGAAAGTTTTCTGTAAATAGTCATTAAAGATTCTAATATCAGCAATATTTTAGATATACTTCCGAGGTAAACACTCCCAACTGAAATAAAATACAATTGTATTTACAACTTAAACACTGATTTTCCTTAAAATTAAATTATAAAAGTCATAGATTAAGTAAAAATCAGAACCTTGTGAGATAGTGGAGTGCCAAAGCTGAAATTTGGTCTGAATATATCTGCTGAATGACCAAGAATATTAGCTTCCATGTGGGTAGCTAGAAGTGGTCTGAGACAAAGGGGAAAAACTAGGATGTGCACTCCAATTGCCTATGTCCATATGTAGCTTGAAACCCAAAGAGATAAACTTATAATTAACAATAAACTTCACATAGAAGGGGACAGTAATTTTGTTGTTGTTCCAAACCAGATGTTATTTGCAGAAAAGAATCTCATGAGGAATTTATGATCTTGAATTAGTAGTAGTTCTCATAATGACCTGTAGTCATAATGCTCTGAGTGATGTGTGTGTGTGTTTGTGTATGCATTTATTACTCTGATACATATATATGTACATTTATATATGTACATTACATTAAATAAATTTTGTTAAATTGTACAATAGATACTAAAGAACAATCCAAAATAATGAAACACTGCTAAATACAACAAAATAGATTATCTCAGGCATAATAATAAGCAAAAAAAATTCAGACAAAAAGATAAAAAATTAATATTTATGACACATTTTTAGTAAAATTAATGATAATCATATTGTTTGATCTAGTTATATAAAGGTCAAGACCTGAAAAAACTAATCTATAACAATAGAATTCAGAAAAATGGTTTTCTTTGTTCAGATATTGACAGAGAAAGAACACAAGGTAACATTCTGGGGGCTGAAAAGCTTTCATGTTTTGATCTGGGTGTAAGAAATTGGGTATATGAGTCTAAAAAATTAGTAAAGCTGGACAATTGAGATTTGTGCATTTTCTTTCTGACTCAATCTTGGGTGATTGTATGCTTTCAAGAATTTCTCCATTTTCTACAGATTTGTGTGCACAGAGGCATTCATAATAGTCTCTGAGGATCTTTTGTATTTCTGTGGGGTCAGTTGTAATGTCTCCTTTGTGATTTCTGATTGTGCTTATTTGGATCATCTCTTTTTTCTATGTTAATCTAGCTCGCAGTCCATCTACCATGTTTATCCTTTCAAAGAACCTACTTTTAATTTTATTGAACTTTATATGGTGTTTAGGGTACAATTTCATTTAGTTCTGCTCTGATTCAGGTATTACTTTTCTTCTGCTAGCTTTAGGATTAGTTTGATCTTGTTTTTCTAGTTCCTTTAGGTGTGATGTTAGATTGTTAGTCTGAGGTCTTTTATCTTCTTGATGTAGGTATTTAGTGCTACAAACTCTCCTCTTAAGACTGCTTTAGCTGTATCCCAGAGATTTTGGTATGTTCTGTCTCTATTTTCATTTGTTTCAAAGAATTTTTTATTTCTGTGTTAATTCTTTGTTTAACCAAAAGTTACTTAGTTTCTACATAATTGTGTAGTTTTGAGAGTTTTTCTTGGTATTGGTTTCTATTTGTATTTCACTGTGGTTTGAGAATATGCTTAATAATATGGTTTATATTTTCTTGAATTTATTGAGACTTGCTTTATGGCCAAGCATGTAGTTGATCATAGAGTATATTCCATGTGCAGATGACAAAAATGTACATTCTTTGGTTGTTGGGTAGAGTATTCTATAGAGGTCTATTAGGTCTAATTGTTCCAGCGTCAAATTTAAGTCCAGAATTTCTCTGTTAGTATTCTGCCTTGCTGATCTGTCTAATGCTGTAGATGTGGTGTTGAAGTCCTCCACTATTATTGTTTGGCTTTCTAAGGCTTTTCCTAGATTTAGAGTAATTATTTTATGAATCTGGGTGTTCCTATGTTGGCTGCATATATAGTTAGAATAGTTCATTCTTCTTATTGAATATGTAATGCCCTTGTTTCTTCTTTTTCTACTGTTGTGAGTTTAAAGCAACCTGAACCAATCAATAGCAAGTCCTGAAATTGAGTCAGTAATTTAAAAAACTACCAACCATTAAAAGTTCTGGAAAAGACAAATTCATGGCTGAATTCTACCCGATGTACAAAAAATTTGTACCAAACCCACAGAAGCTACTCCAAAAAAAAAAAAAAAAACCAAAGAGGAGGGATTTCTCCTTAACTCATTTTACGAAACCAGTATCATCCTGATACCAAAATCTAGCAAAGACACAACAAAATATGAAAATTACATGCCAATATTTATCATAAACATAGTTGCAAAAATCCCTAACAGAATACTAGGAAACAGAATCCACCAGCAATCCAAATAATTAATTTATCTAGATAAAGTAAGCTTCATTCCTGGGATAGAAGGTTGGTTCAACATATACAAGTCGATAAATGTGATTCACCAAATAAATAATATTGAAAACAAAAACCACATGATCATCTCAGTACACACAGAAGAAACATTCTATAAAATTCAAAATCCATTCATAATAAAGACCCTCAAAAAATTAGGCCTCAAAGAACATACTTCAAAATAATAACAACCATCTGTAACAAACCCACAGCCAATATCATACTGAATGGGGAAAAGCTGGAATCATTTCCCCTAAGAACTGGAAAAAGACAAGGATATTTACTCTCACCACTCTTATTCATCACAGTACTGGAAGCCTCACCAGAGCAACTGGGCAAGAGAAAGAAACAAAAGGAATCCAGATAGGAAAAGAGGAAGTCAAATTATCTCTCTTCATTAATCATATGATTCTTTATGCAGAAAACCCTAAAGACACCACCAAAAGCCTCCAAGACCTGATAAATGACTTTAGTAAACTTTCAGGACACAGAATTTGCATGCAAAAAACAGTAGTATTTTTCTCTACCAATATTGTTCAAGCTTTGTGCCAAATCAAGAGCACAGTCCCATTTACAATAGCCACAAAAATGTAAAATGTTTAAGTATGCATCTAATCAAGGAGGTGAAAGATCTGTACAAAAAGAACTATAAAACATTGCTCAAAGAAATCATAAATGACACAAAGAAATGGAAAAACATTCCATGTTCATGGATTGGAAGAATGAATGTCATTAAATTTTTCATACTGCCCAAAGCAATCTACAGATTCAATGCTATTCCTAGCAAATTGTCAATGTTATTTTTCACAGAATTAGAACAAAACTATTTTAAAATCCATATGGAACAAACAAAAAATGAGCCTGAATATCCAAAGCAATTCTAACTAAAAAGAACAAAGCCTGAGTCATCACATTACTTGACTTCAATCTATACTATAAGGCTACACTAATCATAATAGCATGGTACTGTACAAAAATAGATACAGAGACCAATGAAACAGAATAGAGAACTCAGAAATAAAGTCACACACCTACAACCAACTGATCTTTTACAAAGCAAGCAAAATAAGGAAGGGGAAAAGTACTGTCTGGTAAAAAACTGTGCTAGCATACTAGCTAACAATATGCAGCTACCTCTCACCATATACTTAAATTAATATGGATTAAAGACTTAAATGTAAGACTTCAAACATTAAAATGTGAAAACAAAATGTAGAAAATATTCTGGACATGAGCCTAGACAAATAATTTATAACTAAATCCTCAAAAGCAATGGCAATAAGAACAAAAATTGACAAGTTGAATCTGATTAAAGAGCCTCTGCATAGCAAAATAAGCTGTCAATAGAGTAACAGACAATTTGTGAAATTGAAGAAAATATTTGCAAACTATGCACTTTACCAAGGACTAATATCCAGAATCTATAAGAAACTTAAATAAATCAAGAAGAAAAAAAAACCCTATTAAAAATGTGCAAGGGATATGAATGACACTGCTTAAAAGAAGACATACAAGTGGTCAAGAAATACAGGAAAAAATGCTCCACAATGCTAGTCATCAGAGAAATGCAAATCAGAACCAAAATGAGATATCGTCTCACATGAGTCAGAATGGCTATTACCAAAAAGTCAAAAAATAACAGATGTTGATGAGGCTGCAGAGTAAAGGGAATGCTTATACGCTTTTGGTGGAAATGTGATAAATTAGTTCAGCCCCTGTGAAAAGCAGTTATGGAGATTTCTGAAAGAGTAGAAAATAAAAGCACCAATTGACAGGAATCCCATCAATGGGTATATACCCAGAGGAAAATAAATAACTCTACCAAAAAAGACACCTGCATTCATTTGTTTATTGCAGCATTATCCACAATTGCAAAGACATAGAAATAGCCTAGTTTGCATCAACAATGGACTGGATGAAGAGAATGTGGTATATATACACCACAGAATATTATGCAGCCATAACAAAATAACAAAATCATGTCCTTTGCTACAACACTGATGCAGCTGGAGGCCATTATCTTAAGCACATTAATGCAGAAACAGAACACCAAGTATCACATTTTCTCATTTATAAATGGGAGCTAAACTCCCATAAAATTTATAATAGAGTGAGATAATCTAAAATATGTTTAATGTTCATTCAATAAAAATATAACAGAATTATAAAATGAATTAAAAGCAGATAATAGAAAAAAAGAGAAAGAAAATATCAGGAAAAATGGTTTTGCATTTTATTTAATTATTGAAAGGAACAAATCTTGAAATCTAGAAGGTTTAAAAATACAAATTAAGTAAAAACTAAGTAGGATTAAGAAAAAAAACCCCAGATGCTTACAGTAATTCTACAAAACGCCAAAAAACACAAGAGAAAGTTTGAAATACAGTTAAAGAGAATATATGGATAAATCAGAAAGAAAAACTAGTTAGACTAAGTACAGATTCATTAAGCTAAATGTTAGGGAGCTAATACTTTGAATATATTGAGTGAAAATAATCAACTTTGAAACCTACTCAATGACAGTGTTTAAAAAAAGGATTAAACATTGATAAATATATACATGCACACATAAAACTATACACACTAACCTGCATGCATAGACAATTAAAAATGTTCTGCAGGATGCATATATTTGAGATAGATAAAAATAATATCCAATGAAATAGCTGAGCTTTAAGAAGGGATGTTTAGCCAAAATAATAGTAAATTTGGGGTTAGAATTATTCAAAAGCTTAGTGAATTAAATAGTAATGATTAATGTGAAAGACAGAGGTGCTTCTGTGGTGTTTTTAACTTTCTTGACTTTCCTTACAGTAAAAGAGCAACTTTGATTTAAAAAAAAGAGACACGTATTTTGCAAACTAAGTGAAAATGAGTTTCCATGAACTGCAGTGGATGAACTGAACTGTGCATATAAAACCTGCACAAGTTGACAGATGTGTGAGGAACCATCACAACCATGAAATAGATTTCTTCTTATGCTTCTAACTAAATACTGGGGGGCTACTGCAAATTTTCCAATCTTTCTACTCTGCATCCCTTTTAATTATAAATTCCATCTTTAAGTCATTTATTTGCTCAAACATTTCATTCTATGAGGTCAAAAGTAACCACAGAGAAGCCTTAATGCTTTGCTACTTAAATTTTTTTCTACAGATATTCTAGTTCAACATCCTTAATTTCATCATTCCACAAAGCCCTAGAACAAAAAAATTCAGACAAGGTCTTTGGTACTTTACAACAAGGAAAGTTTTCACTCCTGTTTCCAATACCCTGTTTTTCCATTTCCTTTTCATATATATATGTAAGTGTGTGTGTGTTGGTTCAGTAAGAAGAGTGTGCACACAGTAGAAAAAGTGGTGTTATTTATTATTAGGAGTGAGAACTGATTTTTCTTTACATTGTTAATGTTCTCTAGATGTGTTTTATTTTATTTTTAAAATTCTACATTTATTCTTTTTAGGAGTGTATTGTGTATTTATTTATTAAAATTTTGTAATTTTAGAGTCAGGCATTGTGGCTCATGTCTGTAATTCCTGTTACATGAGAGGCTGAGAATCTCTTGAGCCAAGGATTTCAAGACCAGCCTGGGAAACCGAGCAAGAACACATCTCAAACTAAATAAACAAATAATATTTAAAAACAAGTGAGAAAGATTTTGCAACTTTTTTGTTTGCTTCATGCCTAAGTATTTTAGTATTTTCTGTTTCATTAATTTTGGCCATCATATTTGATTAATTTTTAACATAATTAACTTTTGGTTTGATTTACTTTGTTCTCTTTTTTAATGATTAGGTTGAATTACATTTTCATTATAAAATTTGAATTTAGGTAAGCATTATATAGGTTATTAATATTTCCCTGAAAATTGTTTCAGCTATATTCCAATTGGTTCTAACGTGACATTTTTACTTTTACCTTCATAACATTAACAAATTTTGAAATGCCTTTTTTTGGCCCAAGGGCTATTTAATGGCTTTTTATAAGTTTTACTTTCCAAATGAAATCGCTGTTTGTTTTCAAATTTGGTTAATTTTTAGTTTTATTACATAACAGTTTGAATTGCTCTTTATATATTTTACAAGATCTCATTCTGTTTTTTTGTCACCTAATATGCAATCAGTTTTAATAATATAACATATTAAAAGATGTATTGTCTGTTTTGGGGTTCAGAGTTTGATATACAGCTGACCCTTTAACAATGTTTGTATGTATCATTTTACCTTGTGAAAATTGTGGTTTTGAGGTCCAGCATGAGAACACAGTGACAGTCTTGCTGCTGCTTGCTGTACATAATGAATAGATTTTTCATTCTGACCTTCAACTCTCTGTCTCCTGCAAATGTCTATGAAACAAACTTGCTTGCTTGCAAGTAAGATACAACTCACAGATCTCAAAAAGACATACTCTTTTTACAGTGGTGTTTATGTTTTTATATCTTTTTAATAATATTCTTATACAATTTTTTATATTATGATAGCTAATTGGCTGAGTCGTATTCCATAATGTATATATACCACAGTTTCTTTATCCACTCATGGATTGATGGGCATTTGGGTTGGTTCCACATTTTTACAATTGTGAATTGTGCTGCTATAAACATACGTGTGCAAGTATCTTTTCATATAATGACTTCTCTTCCTCCAGGTAGATACCCAGCAGTGGGATTGCTAAATCAAATGATACTTCTACTTTTAGTTCTTTAAGGAAACTCCACACAGTTTTCCATAGTGGTTGTACTGGTTTACATTCCCAGCAGCAGTGTTCCCTTTTCACCACATCCACACCAACATGTATTATTATTTTTTTATTTTTTTTATTATGGCCATTCTTGCAGGAGTAAAGTGGCATTGCATTGTGGTTTTGATTTGCATTTTCCTGATCCTTAGTGATGTTCCATTTTTGTTGGGCATCTGTATATCTTCTTTCAAGAATTGTGTATTCATGTCCTTAGCCCACTTTTTGACATGATTGTTTTGTTTGTTTTGTATTTTTTTGCTAATTTGTTTAAGTTCATTGTAGATTCCATATAAATCCATCATCCTTTATGATTAAAACTCTCAGCAAAATCTGCATACAAGGGACATACCTCAATGTAATAAAAACCATCTAACCGACAGCCAACATAATACTAAATGGGGAAAAGTTTGAAAGCATTCCACATGAGAACCAGAACAAGACAAGGATGTCATTTTCACCACCTCCATTCAACATATTACCAGAAGTCCTAGCCAAAGCAATCAGACAAGAGAAAGAGACAAAAGGCATCCAAATTGGTAAAGAGGAAGTCAAATTGTCGCTGTCTGCTGATGACATGACTGCATACCCAGAAAACCATAAAGAATCCTCCAAAAAGCTCCTGTAACTGATAAAGAATTCAGCAAAGTTTTAAGATACAAATCAATGTACACAAATCAATAGCTCCCCTATACCCCAACAGTGGTCAAGTTGAGAACTAAATCAAGAACTCAACTCCTTTCACAATAGCTGCAATAAAATAAAATAAAATACTTATAAATATACCTAACCAAGGAGGTGAAAGTCCTCTACAAGGAAAACCAGAAAACACTGATGAAGAAAATCATAGATGACACAAACAAATGGAAGCACATCCCATGCTCATGGATGGGAAGGATCAACATTGTGAAAATGACCATACTGCCAAAAGCAATCCATAAATTCAACGCAATTCCCATCAAAATACCACCATCACTCTTCACAGAACTAGAAAACATTTCGAAAATTATTTTCTTTGAGACAGGGTCTTGCTCTGTTGCCCAGGCTGGAGTACAGTGACACCATCATGGCTCACTGCAGCCATGATCCACCTGCCTCAGCCTCCTGAGTAGTTGGGACCACCGGCATGCACCACCACGCTCAGCTAATTTTTGTATTTTTTGTAGAGACGGGGTTTCACCATGTTGCATGGGCTGGTCTCTAACTCCTGGGCTTAAGCGATCCACCCACCTCAGCCTCCCAAAATGCTAGAATTGTAGCTGTGAGCCACCACACCTGGCTGTAATTTTCCAGACTTTATCACAGACTTTGAATTTACTTGGCTAACCAGTCTGAACTTTTTAAAAGTACATGAGTAAAAAACTCACATACTTGATTAATAGGACAAAAAAGGTGTTTGATCTTTGTTTTGTTTTCCTTAATGCATTTATATAACTCTTTGTCACTGTGTGCTCTCTTTTTATTGCTTTAATTTTTGGGATTTTCATATTTTCATTTTTTATATTTTGTTTGGAATTTAGAGATGTTCTACATTTGTTTTGATTGTTGCATATATCCTAATACCTTAATATAATATCCATATCATTCTTGCTTTTAACACAGTCTGTTGTTTTCCTACTTTGAGTAAGATTGAATTATCTAGTTTCTTTTGTTCCTGCTTTTCCTCATTTAACATCAAATTTAAAACATCTTTTATACTAAGTCTATGTCAGAAAATCAACAGCTTATTCTACTTTCCATAGTCCTCCTCTATTCTTCTTTATATATTGATGGTTATATTTTACGTAAATTGTCAGAGCATCATATGCAATATTCCACCATCATTATCCACATCATTTTGTCATAATTATACAGTTGTTTATTTGGTGATCAATGCCAGTTTTTATGCTGAGAATTCTTCAAGTGTTTCTAGGTAGGTGGAAAATTTTCAGTGTTTTTAGGATTTGTGAGCTCCCCAATATTCATCAAGATGATGACAGAAAGGATCCAAAGGCAATTTCAGAGATTTTGGGGTTGCCCCTCCCACCACTGGCCCAGAGCTCTAGAAAGGTGAACTGGTTTCCAGAGAGAGGCCTTGGATGCCCTCCACAAGTTTTGTTGCCCAGGGCTGCCTTGGAGCTTTTCTCCCCATATTCCAGTGCAGAGTGCCTTGGCCACCCCAGCTGTGGCTCAAGCAGGCTCAGGAGTGGTTCAGCTGCCACTCCAGCGGGTGTATGTGGTAAGTCTTAGCAGCATCCACAATGTGCTTATTCTGCAGGTGTGCTGTATAGGCATGTCTTCCTTCACCCTGCATTTTAAAGGATGCTGAAGACCACCTAGATGCCTAGGCAGAAAGTTGCTAGGATTGTTTGCTAACTTGCTAAACTTGTTTAGGATTGAACTCAGTCAACTAGTTATGGAACTTAATTACATCTGCAAAATTCCATTTGTCACATTGTGTTTGCTATTCCATGTGTTTACAGGTCTCAGCCACACCCAAGGGGAGGCGATCATATGGTACATGTATATCAGGATGTAGGAATCTCAGAGCGAGCCATCTAAAAAAATCTGCCTCACAGAATTTGAACGGCAAATATTAATGCCTATAATGGATTGAGAGGCATCAAATATACATGTAAAAAACCTAAGATATTTTAATTATACTTATAAAAACTAATTTGTCACTTTCGGGGATTCTTAGGAGTCCAGTAAATTATTCTGGCTATTCATACAGAGAAAGAAACAATAATTTATTCTACCTTCCTTATCAAAATAATTAAATAGAGGAAAGAAATTTCTTTACTGAAGACTTCTAAGTATTAAATTTTTTAAAAATGATAACATTAGTTATGCTTTGCAAATGTTAATTAAATAACATATCTAGGCAACTATTGTCAGTCATTGTTAAACTTGTGGGTGAAATATTAATGGATAAATTTTCAGCAAATGAAGCTGACCAAATCTAAACTTACTGGTTCATATTAGCAGCACTGAAATCAAGATGATAAGACAGTATATGGCTACTGGATGCTACAACAGAAAGGTTACAAGATGGTCTACACATTTATTTTTCTCAATGAATTGGGCCTGACTATAACATAGCCTTTATGTCCAAATGTTATTTCGCAGAATCATGAGGATGAAAATATGTGGGGCACCACAATGACCCAAATTACCAAATTAGGAATCTAAGATAAGTTTCTTGCACAAAAAGTGACATGAAGATTATAAAGTGGGAAATCGTATTAATTAGAAGAAAATTAAAAGACATAGCAACCACATGCAATGTGTGCATCAGTTTGTAACCTGGAAAAAAATGAGTGTAAAAATATGTTTATGAGGTAATTAGAAAATTTTGGACATGGAGAAAAATCATATAAAGTAATAATAGAGAATCTGCTTCAAAATGAGGATGGATAGATAAAATCAGATTGGTAATATGTCAACAAGCACTGAAGCCAATGATGACTAACTGGGATCCATTATTCTACCCCCAATTGTCTTGTTATGTTGAAAAAATAAATCCATAGCCTATAATGCACTGTATTTGGCTCATCATTGATAATTATCTGAACTCAGCTCAAAGCGAACGTCAATTCATTGGTATGAACTTATTAAAACTAATACTGGTAGCAACTTAGGTTTTGAAAACTTTATTTGTACTACCTTGTGGCAGGCTTTGTACATTTCACAATTATAAAAATTGATATTATGCCTGCCCCGAAGAATCTTGCAGACAAAATGTTATAAACTTCTCACACACAATAAACAGTTGATTAAGTTTTGTATATATAAACAGCTTCAGAATATTCATACTGATTTGTGCTGCAATGCTATCTTATCAGGCCTTACAGCAAGCAAAAAAAAAAAAAAGGTATTTGCTTCTTAGATATTTCTGGTTATTAAATCCAGTTGAATTATACTGACTATTAATCATAACCCAGAAATTATAATCAAAGTTTTTGGGTGCAGTAACCTAAAAGAATGAGATATTTTTATTCTGTGTTAGTTAGCGTAGGTTTTAAAAACAAATGGCTATTAGGCAGCTTCAAAGACAATAAAGCTAAGGTAATGAAAGTTTGAAATGAAGCACTAGTCTTGTGTCAACAAGCTGATTACAGAACACAGGAATATATGGATGCATGGGAAATGAGAAAGGGTTCCTTGTCAAGAAGAAGCCTAAGCACCTGCCAAAATGTTGACATATCATATGCGATGAATTTGGGGTTATGACAGTTTGTGGAATGATCCACCAGCTACCCAAGATGAATCCCATTCTATGTCTCCGATTGCAATCTTTTACAAACAGAAATATAAACAGTGTTCACACAGATATATTTGAAATTTAGGGCCACCTCTCCTTTCACTTAACTAGACAAGTTGACACCAGATTCTCCCTACCTTAGCAGTGAAGTCTTAGCGTGAAGTACCTCTGGCAACATGTTTGTAGAGGCTTCAGGAGGACAAAAGAAGCAACATTATTTAGAAAGGCAGTGTTGAGGTCACTCTATCTAGCTTTCCTGGCAATATCAGCAAAGGTATCCTGAGAAGAGATAAAGAAAAATTGACCTGGTAAATATTTTAGGTGACTGCACAATTTGGAGATTTGGAAGTGTGGAGGAAGCAGAGTGGAATTGGGAGGAAGGAAAGTTAAGCATGCAGGGGTTATAGTGTATTTAAATTTTTTAACTTCAATGTTCAGAAGAGCACCAAAGCTTTTAAGTACCAATTAACGCCATTGCAGTTTCATTGTCTTTTGTCTGTTGGGGTCAATAATGGGTTTTCTTAGGTTCTTCAATAACTATCTGTAGACTATTTTTACCAGCCAATACTTCACGTTATTTTTATTTCCCCCAGCTTAGGACACATAGTTCTGCTCTATCCAGTTGATTTTTTTCCTCTGGTTTCTTACTGGATATTTTTTTGAATTTTTGCCTCTCCTAAAAATTGGAAAAAAAAAACTTATAGTTTTAAATCTTCATTAATAAGGAAATACATGTTAACACATGTTTTAAAAATATTAGTTCAAGTTATAATATCACTATGATTTTTAATCCACTAACAAAATTGAAAGATCATTCTTCCACTAAAATTGGAAGATTTTAGTATAGCTGAAATCTTTGTAGTTGTTCATATACCTAGATAGGAATTATTGTTCATTTTAATGCTCCACCAAGTAAAAGAGTCCTTTTTTAAAAAAAGCTTTCTGTTAAATTGGAAGCAGCAGCAAATTTCTTGAACTCTGCCCAGAAGAACCCATACTTTGAAGTTTTTTTGTTTGTTTGTTGGTTTGCTTTACTTTGTTTTTGTTTATTTGGTTTTTATAAGTCTAGAATTTGAATAAAGAAGCATGTTTGTGTCATATATTTCTGGTTTTTCTGTCCTTGAATTCCAGTGTAGACAGTACCCCAAAACAATGAAATACTTCTATTATTAGGACGCATCTTTACAGAAACCTCACTTTTTACCTCTGTTTAATTTTTTTAAAAAAAGAAAAGAAAAATAAATGTTGCAACAGCTGTCAGCCCCTACTGGTGATCTATTTTCAAAAAAGTCTCATCATACTATCCAAGAAGAAATTTCCTTCTAAACTCAATGTCACTTAAAAGTTTTCAAAGTACTTTTAATATTTTACCAATATGTTCACTCAGATCCTAATTATTTTTGGATCCTGCTGAGTAATTTCTCAGCTTCTTAGTGTGGTGATTTGCATTCCTTCTCACATCTGGGTTCTTTTTCTGCCTGTTAGTTTGTATTGTTTGAATTGACATAGGAGCTTTAATTTTCTCTTTTTAAGAAGACAAAATGAAACTTTTCTTAAAAATGATAATTTCCTGCAAACTTGTAAGTTGTCCCTAGATGTTTTATTTTTGCATGCTTGAAAAATGTAGCAGTAAGTATTGCTTTGCTATTTTTTTTTTCCTGTCAGAGAAAGTTGTTTCTGGGTTTGGTGTTTTTACCCCATACCCCTGCTCTGGCAGAGCCTGTGGTCATAGCCCTATCTTCCAACTCTGCCCTACAATAATGAGAGCTATGGTGTGAATGATGTCATCCCTTCTGAAGTTAATATTGAACTTAATTCTCCTGGTGGCAATATTGAGCCCTGGGGCCTTTTGGGAGATAAGGTTAAGTCATGAAGGCTCTCCCTTCATGAATGAGATTTAGTATTCTCAAAAAGGCTTGAGGAAGAGTTTGGCCTTCTTGTAGCCCTTCTGCCTTCTGACATGTAAGGATGCATCAAGAAGGCCCTCATCAGACACCAGATGCCTGGTATTGATCTTGAACTTTCCAGAAATGGGAGAAATAATTTCTATTATTGATAACTTACCCAGTCTGTTATATTTTGGTAGAGCAGCACAAATCAATTAAGATAGAAACTGGTATCAAGAAATAAGGTGTATTTTGATGTGAATGCTGACCTGATATGAGTTTGGCCTGTAATGTATTGCTGTGAATGGAACATCTAAGAGTGATTTTGGTGAAGACTCAGAAGAAACTGGACAAAGAAGAAGGTAGTGGTGATGGAGGTGGTGAAGAGGATCCCTCAACAGACACCAAAGATGTGAACAGAAAGACTGCCTGGCCAGCAGACTCTGGGACATCAGTCTGGCCCAGCCTGAGAGCATCCACAGGGACCTGGAAAACTCTCATACTTAGTCAGATGATGTACCAGACATAACCTCAGAGGAGTGTTGCTCACTCGGCTCCCATACTGTAGCCTGCTCCTTAACCCCCAGAGCCCAAGGTGCACTGAGCCTACGTGCCCATATAAACCTCACTGCCCTACTGAGGGACAGACTGTCTTGAAGCCAGAGGTGCAGAAGCAAGAGTAGGGAGTGGAATGAATGCTCCTGTTCTGAGAAGCACACTTATTGTAATAACTCCATCTTTTGGAAATATTTTTGGTAGGGGGCAGGGATTTATATATTTTATTTCAAAGATTCTCTGGTCACAGGTTTTCTCCAGGGAAATTCTGAGAAATTCACAATTTCTTACCAGATATAAGATGAAAAGTTTGTCATTAGTTCCCCTTCCCTTCCCTCCCATCATTTTAGTTTTAATTTATTGGTTAAATGAATGGTGGCAATACATGAGTTGTGTTAAAGAGTATATATGTATGTGTATATATAGTATGCTAACATATACCGAAAGACACATTTCAATAAAGATGTCTGTCCTAATTTTTTAAAAGTGGCTTAGTCTTAGTGATATCTAAGTGATCATGGGGCCAGCCGCGGTGGCTCACATCTGTAATCCCAGCACTTTGGGAGGCCGAGGCGGGCAGATCACGAGGTCAGGAGATCCAGACCATCCTGGCTAACACGGTGAAACCCCGTCTCTACTAAAAATACAAAAAATTAGCCGGGCAAGATGGTGGGCGCCTGCAGTCCCAGCTACTCAGGAGGCTGAGGCAAGAGAATGACGTGAACCTAGGAGGTGGAGTTTGCAGTGAGCCAAGATTGCGCCACGGCACTCCAGCCTGGGCAACAGAGTAAGACTCTGTCTCAAAAAATAAAATGAAATAAGTGATCATGAACACAATGTTGGTAGAAATTTGAAAACTAAAGGCCATTCTGATTAAGTCTTAGATGGAAGTGAGGAACAAGGTATAAGAAACTGAAGGAAAGTTAAACCTTGTTCAATGTCAATAAACTTGGTCGAATTGTGTTCATGTTCTAATGCTTTTTTGAGGGAGAACTTGCTGTTAATGAACTAGGATATCTGGCAAAAGAAATATCTAAGCAGAGTGCTCATGGTGCTGAGTGACTTCCATTGATTAAACTTGACCAATAGTAGAATGTTAGATGAGAGAAACTATATAAAGATAGAACTCATAATTAAAAGGGAAGCATAATGTAAATATTCTCAGCCTAGTCATACAAAGAATAAAAAAGCATGTTTAGGAAAGAAAATTCAGAGCTTAGCCAAGTGACCATTTCATAAGGAGACTAGTCTTATTAGAAGGAAGCCAGATGCTACTCATCAAGATAATGAGAGAATGGCCCTGACGGCATTTCTGAGACCATTGAGGCTGCTATGCCCATTGCAGCCCCAGAGTGCCAGAGTTTCAAAGGCAGAATGGTTTCAAAAGAGAAGTCCAAGTAACCATAGGATTTTGGGGCTTGCGGCTCAGCTATGCTTCAATCCTCTGCTCTCTGCATTCCAGGGGTATTTTGTAGCAAAACAAATGGACTACAACGATGAGGCTGTGCTGCTTCCCAGACAAGTCTATGGGCTGAAACTTGACTGCTCCCCACACACTGCAGTAATGAGATGGTGAACCAGTGATGCCAAGTCTATGCACAAAGCCCGGTGTTCTATTCTACACTATAGTAATGAGAAGGCAACTCTTTCAAACAGGGTCTATAGGTAAAACACTCCCTTCAGAATCCTTTAGTAACAAGGCTGTGTCCCACTCCCTCCTCAGCAGGCTCTATAGAGACTGAGCTGGAGTTTGTCAAGTGCTTAATGTACAATTGTGGCAGAACAGAGTATCATTCCAAAGGCTGTTCAAATTAAAATCTTACTTAAACCATCACCAAAAAAAGTAGGCCAGGATATGCATTCATCCTAAGTATAATGACTATTTTCTAAATTAGAAGATATAAATAGATTCTTATAATATATAAAATGTCTAGGATAGCGTCAAAATTACTCACCATATCAAACACCGTGGAAATCTCAGCTTAAATGACAAAAGATAATCAACAAATATCAATGTGAAGAAGTCACAAATATTGGAATTGTTGGACAAATATTGTAAAACATTCTTGAATAAATGGAAAAATAGAATGTCTCAGCAAAGTGATATAAGATGTAAGACAAAATCATACAAATTTTAGAACTGAAAAATATAATAACCAAAATATAAATCTTACTAAGTGGCTCAATAGCAGGATAAAATTAATAGGAGAAAAAAAGAGTGAATTTGAATTTATATTAATAGAAATCATTCAGGATGAACAAGAGAGAAAAATAAAAAAGTAAGAAAAGGATGAACAGAACAACAGGACATCTGAGATAGTAACAAAACATCAGAAACTGCAAAAGAAAAGAAGGAAATGTGGCCTGGAAAACTGTTTAAAGAAATAATGGTTGAACACCTCTCAAACTTTGGGAAAAACATAAGCTTACAGATCCAGGAAGGTTACTGACAATAGTTTTATTTGTGTAAAGACAAATAAATCTATGCCCAAGGATATCATAGTCAAAACTGTGGAAACTAAAGACAGAAAAAAATGGTGAAAGCATTTGGAGAGACACAATGCATTATCTATAGGAGAACAATTCAAATGGTATTGAATTTTGATATGGATGTCAGAAGGAAGCAGCACAATTGCTTTCAAGTGCTGAAAGAAAATTACCAATAAACTATATTTCTATACCGAGTAAAAGTATTCTTGAGTAATGGAGGTGAAACAAAGACATTCTTAGAAAAAAGAGAAAACTACAATACTTTGACAGCATTGTCTGCCTCAAAAAACATTTGACAAACTAAAAGAAAATGATAACAAAATGAGTCTGAAATAGCAGAAAAGATAAAAGAGTAAGGAATAGATAAATATGTGGATAAAGATATGCTTGTCTTAAATTTTTGAATTATAACTTACTGTTAAAACCAACATTAATGTAAATAACACGAATAGCTTACGGACATTATGCTGAGAAAAAAGCCCATTGCCAAAGGCTAGATTATATGTGATACTATTTATTAATTTTCTCTAACAAAATGATAGTCATGAACAGTTCAGTAGTTGTCAAAGGTTAGGTTTGAGGTAAGCATATGACTATTAAGGTGCAACATGAGGAAATTTCTCTGTAGTTATGGAACAACTTTGTATCATGAATGTGCTGATGAAATTCTACATGTAAAAAATTTATAAAATACTACTCAAACATAGTTTTTAGTCAGGCATGGAAACTCATGCCTGTAATCCTAACACTTTCGGAGACAGAGGTGGGAGGATTGCTTGAGGCAGGAGTTTATAACCAGCCTAGTCAACATAGGGAGACCACATCTCTATAAAATAAATTTTTTAAAAAAATTAGCTGGCCTTGGTGGTGCATACCTGTAGTCCCAGCTACTCAGAAAGCTGAGGTAGAGGACCACTTGAGCCCAGGAGTTGGAGGCTGCAGTGAGCCATGATTGCACCACTGCACTGCAGCCTGGAAAACAGAACAAGACTTTGTCTCAATTTAAAATAATAATGATAACAACAACAATAATAATTTTTAAAAAGGAATGCATGTAAAAATTGGTGAAATCCAAATATCCAACCATGTTTATCTGAGTTTAATTACATGTCAATGTCAATTTTTTGTTTTTGACAATGTACTGTTGTCCTGTAAGACATGATCATTGGAGGAGCTAGATGAAGAATACATGAAAAATCTTTGTACTATTGTTGCAAGTTTTTATGAGAAAAACTATTGCAAAGTAAAAACATTAAACAACAAATCAGGATGTATTTCCTTCTCTTATTTTCTGATAGATAAATCTTTTCTGCCATTGGTATTATTTTTCCTAAATATTTAGTAAAGTTTACCAATGAAGTCATTTGAATTTTGAGTAGTTTGTGAAAACAATGTGTATTTTTTTATTCAATCTGTATATTATATATAGGATCCTATACATTTTCTAATTTCTTTAAATTATACTTTAAGTTCTGGGGTACATGTGCAGAATTAGATATTTCTCCTAATGCTCTCCCTCCCCTAGCCCCACACCCACCAACAGACATTTTCAAATTTTTAAGTACCAGTAACTTGTCCATTTTATACATATTTTTAATTATTTAAAGTATGAAGTATAAAGCTCTTAAACATTCATAAAAGTATCAAGAAAGTTTTAAAGTATTTATTAACATTTTAACATCATTACACTTAGCATACAACCATGGGTTCTCTCTTATTATTGATTCTGTAATTCATAGTTTCTCTTTTTGTATTGATCAGTTAATTAATCTTTTATTCCTGTATTAAAATAGGCATAGATTAATTTCATTGACTTTCTAAATTGTCCACCCTATCTCTATTTTATTGGTTTCTACTCTTTTCTATTCTTCCTCTGCTTATTTTGTATTTAATTCACTCTTCTTTTTTCTAATTCTTAGGTACTGAGGTTACTGTTTTTAGATTTTAATTTTGTGTAACAGAAACCTATAGGACTATAGATTTTTCTTTAAGCACAGCTTTAGCTGCATCCCAGAAATATTGATAGGCTGTATTTTCATTTATAACAGATATACAATAGATTGTATTTTTTAAGTCAATATTCCTCCCAACATTACCAAAAATGAAAACATTATAACTGCTAGTAGATCATCAATTAAAGAAAAAATGAGAACTATGCAAGGACAGGGTTGGACTCTTGGTACATTATTCATTAAACAATATTGCCCCAAAATATATAAAGAAAATAAATGGACAACTATTTAAAGGCATACTGATATATCCTAAATTGTGGTGAGATAGGTTAGCCTAATTCTCACTAAAAGTGATAGACTAAGTAAGCATGTATTTGTCCATTCTTGCATTGCTATGAAGAACTACCAGAGACTGGGTAATTTATAAAGAAAAGAAGTTTAATTGGCTTATGGTTCCAGGGAGGTACCATACACTTTTTCAAACAGCCAAATCTTGTTAGAACTTTATCATAATAATAGCACCAAAGGGGGAAATTCACCCCCATGATCCAGTGCCCTCCTACCAGGCCCCACCTCCAACATTAGAGATTACAATTCAACATGAGATTTGGGTGGGGACACAAATCCAAACCATATTATTCTTCCCCTGGTCCCTCCTGAATCTCATGCCCTTCTCATATTTCAAAATACAACCTTGCCTTCCCACCAGTTCCCCAAAGTCTTAATCCAGCATTAACTCAGATGTCCAGAGTCCCAAGTCTCATCTGAGACAAAGCAAGGTCCTTCCACCTATGAGCCTGTAAAATAAAAAAAAAAGTTAGTTACTCCCACGATACAATGCAGGTTTAGGAATTAGGTAAATACTCTCTTTCCAAAAGGGAGAAATCAGCCAAATAAAGGGGCTACAGGGCCTGTGCAAGTGTGAAACTGACTGCAGGTAGTCATTAAATCTTCAAGCTCCGAAATAATCTTCTTTGACTCCATGTCTCACATGCGGGATATATTGGTGCAAGGGGTGGGTTCCCAAGGCCTTGGACAGCTCTGTCCTGTGGCTTTGCAGGGTTCAGGTCCCATGGTTGCTCTCATGGGCTAGCATTGAGTGTCTGTGGCTTTTCTAGGCACATGGTACAAGCTATTGGTGGATCTCCTATTCAGAGGGTCTTGACAATGGTGACCCTCTTCTTGCAGCTCCAGTAGGCAGTGTTCCAATGGGTATACTGTGTGTGGGGGGGCTTCAACCTCACATTCCTTCTCTGTGCTGCCCTAATAAAAGTTTTCCATGAGGACTCCACCCATGCAGCAGGCTTCTGCCTGGACATTCAGGCTTTCCATACATCCTTTGAAATCTAGCAAGAGGTTTCCAAACCTCAACTCTTGCACTGCATGCACCACACAGGCTTAAAATTATGTCAAAGCCACCAAGGCTTACAGCTTTCATCCTTTGAAGCAGCAGCCCAAGCTGTATCTGGGTTCCTTTTAGAGACAGTTGGTGTCTTCGAGTTGGAGTGGCTAGGATGCAGGGAAAGGTGTCCTAGTGCTGTACAGGGCAGCAGAGCCCTGGGCCTGGCTCTGGCACAGGAAACCATTTTTCCTTCATAGTCCTCTAGGCCTGTGATGGGAAGATCTGCGACAAAGGTCTCTGAGATGCCTTTGAGGATTTTTCCCCGTTGTCTTGGCTATCAGCACTTGCCTTCTTTTTAGCTATGCAAATTTCTGAAGCCTGTTTGAATTATTCCCCAGAAAGTGGAGTTTCCTTTTCTAACATATGGCCCGGTTGCAAATGTTCCAAACTTTTAGGCTCTGCTTCACTTTTAAAAATACGTACTAGTTTCAATTCATTTCTTTGCTCACTCATAGGAACATAGTCAGTTAGAAGCAGCCAGGACACATCTTGAACTCCTTGCTGCTTAGAAATTTATTCTGTCAGAGACCTTAAATCATCACTCTTAAGTTCAAACTTCCACAAATTCCAAGGGCAGGGGTAAAATGCCTCCAACCTCTTTGCTAATGCATAGCAAAAGTGACCTTTACTCCAGTTCCCAATAAGTTTCACATTTTCACCTGAGACCTCCTCAGCCTGGCTTTCACTGTCCATATCACTATTAGCATTTCAGTCACAGCAATTAACAAGTCTTTAGGAAGTTCCATACTTTCCCTCATCTTCTTGTCTTTTTTCTGAGCGCTCCACATTGTTCCAACCTCCTCCTGTTACCCAGTTCCAAAGCTACTTCCACATTTTCACGCATCTTTATAGCAATGCCCCACTGCTCGGTACCAATTTTCTCTATTAGTTCAATTTTGCATTGCTAAAAAGAAATACCTTAGACTGGGCCATTTATAAAGAAACAGGGTTTAATTGGCTCATGATTCCACAGAATGCACAGGAAGCATGATGCTGGCATCTGCTCAGCTTCTGGGGAGGTCTCAGAATATTTACAATCGTGGTGGAGGGTGAAGTGGGGAGCTGGCACTTCACATGCCTGGGGGCAGGAGAAAGAGAGAGAAGGTGGAGGTGCCACATACTTTTAAACAACCAGATCTTGTGAGAAATCTGTCTCCAGAAAAGCACCAAAAGGGGAAATCCATCCCCATGATCCAATCAGCTTTCACCAGGCCCCCACCTCCAACTTTAGAGATTAAAATTCAACATGAGATTTGGTTAGGGACACATATCCAAACCACATCAAAGCACAAAGCAATAAGGATATAGACAATTTGTAAAATATTAACAAATTATAAATATAAATCAAATCATTCACTAATGGAAGTATATCAATTTTCTATAAGCATACAGAGTCTGCTTCAATTTGCTCACATACAAAGTCTCAAAAGAAGGCTCAAAGTAACAAAATAAGCTGTATAATTATCTGCATACTTTGTTGTCAATAAAAACTTATGATTTCAAATTCTAAAATTCAAAAGTTTAATGTTTTATTTAAATTGTTTTATTTAAAATTAAAATCATTAAAAGTTTAAGCTTTTTTTTAAATTTATTTTGAGACAGAGTCTCACTCTGTTGCCCAGGCTGGAGTGCAGTGGCACAGTCTCAATTCACTGCAAACTCTGCCTCCAGGATTCAAGTGAGTCTCCTGCCTCAGCCTCCAGAGTAGCTGGGATTACCAGCACATACCAACAAACCTGGCGAATTTTTGTATTTTTAGAGACGGGGTTTCAACATATTGGCCAGGCTGGTCTCAAACTCCTGACCTCAAGTGATCTGGATCTGCCCTCCTCAGCCTCCCAAAGTGCTAAGATTATAGGTGTGAGTCACCATGCACAGCCATGAAAATTTTAAAAATTAAAAAATATACTATTCTTAAGGGATAAATCTGTAGCAATAAGTAAGTATTTTTTCTGTAAATGCAAATGTTTTAAACAACTTAGTATCAATAAGTTAAGTAACTATTTCAGAAAGCAGGAAAAAATGTTTTAGCCAAATCAAAAATACAAAAGTATGAAAACAAAGAATGTAATGAAAAATTAATAAAATAAAAATCAAGAAAAGATCTACAACACTAAATGCTAGTTCTCTGAGTTGAGTCATAATGTAACTCAACATAAAGTAACTCAATATTTAAATTTTAAAACGTAGACAAAGCACACAATGACACAAGGTATTCAAGACAAATTTTGAACATGAATGTAAAAAATATCAGTTATTATTAATAAATACTAATGGTAAGAATCTCAAAACTATCATAAAATGATAATACATGATAACAGAATTACTAGAGAAACACTTTAAGAGGATTGATTTCTCACTTACATGGGAGTGGATTAGCTTTTGAGAGAGCTGGTTGTTCAAAAAACAAAAGTCTGTCTTTCTTGGTTTCTCTCTCTTGCTTCCTCCATTACTATGCGACCTCTTTGCACAAACCCACTTCCTTTCGGGTTCCCTCCGTGTGTGGAGGCAGCATGAGGCCCTCACCAGATGCTGCTGCCCAATCTTAAACTTTTCAGCCACCAAAATAGTGGGCCAAATAAATTTCTTTCCTTATAAATAACCCAGTCTTAGGTTATTCTATTACAGCAGCACAAAATGGACAAAGACTATATATACATATAGTATATACATATACACATATAGTATGTATATGTATATACACACACATAGATAAACATTACATACACATGTATACACACACACATACATGCACATACCCACAAAAAACTCCAGTGTTAAACAAGTTTATAGGTACTGTGCACTAATCTCACAACACCCATATAATTATAATTGATGAAAATTTTTTTGATAGACAAAAAGGTCAGTCAGAATAAAAAACCTAGACATATGAGCACACATGTGCATAATTTTTAGATAATACACTTTGCACTACACAACAGCTAGGAAAACAAAGGTAGAAAGGATAATGCTAGGATAGCTACCAAATATGTATGATAAAATTGTAGTGAAAATTCACACTGGACATCAATTCCACATAGTTTAAAGACTTAAATATGAAAAGCAAAAATTTTGAGATGAAATGTATTTTAATACCAGGATATTGATGTATTTCTAATGCAGTGTGATCATATAAGAAAAATCCTTGCTATATAAAAATATTAAAAGAATATTATAATGAAGTTATGAACTAATTAAAGGATAAACTGGAAATGGCAATGTTTTCAACATAAACATTTCAATAGCTATTGATGTCATCAATATATTAAGTATCCTATAAATATACATTCAAAGAACTCAGTAAAAAAAACATAGTTGAACAAGTACATTTTGGACTAGAAATTCCTAAGACAAAACCCAAGTTGCTAATAACATATAAAAATTTGTACATCACTGCAAATTAGAAAAATGCAAAATACAACAAAGGAATTCCATTTCATACTGATTTGATATTACCTTCGTGTAGCATACATGTTGGAAGTGTGCAGTCTTGTGGATGCTGGAAGTGTAAATTATTGCAGCAACTTAGAAAAGAAACTTGGTATTTGTTACAATATTTTAATTCTCATTTTCTACTACAGGCCCAAAGAGATGCATAGAGTAAGAGTAGTATGTAAGCTTGAAAACAGCAAAACACGAGAAGCAATCTAAAGCTATTTTGGGAAAATAATTGATAAACAACTTGTGATATATTCATAGAATGATGTGTTACACAGAATTAACCAAGAGGAGAGAGCTAGCTCTTAGTAAGTAAAAATAGGTAAATGTTTGAAAACCATGATGAACAACAAAAAAAGTAAGTTTCAAAATGATATGTACAGCAAAATAGATTTTATAAATTATAGTATTATATGTTATATATGAGAAAACATTTGTATAAAAGTTTAAAATTATATATGGATAAGTACTCAAGAAATACAAGATAGTAGATATACCTTAATAGGAAAGAGAAAATATAATCTAATATTAACATTTCCTGAAATCCGCATAATTGTTACATGATTGGATGCTGCATTATTTTTAGTATATTTCTGAATGTTTTACAAGTTTCATAATTAAACACATGAACATTTTTCAAAGAGATGGAAATTACCTTTCTAGATAAAGCATTATACTTTTGGAAGTTCCTGTCACTTTAGATGTTTATTCAATTAAAAAAATAATCCTGAAAAAGTTATGTGGGCTGTTTGAAAAACCAAAACAACCTTAAGAAAAAAGATAATGAGAGATGTGGGAGGTATGGAATTCTAGATCAGGGTGGAAATATTACAAAATTGTTTGCCATACTTTTTGTATTTATAGAACTAATTTGTACCTTTAGTTATACAATTGTAAATTTTTTTGGTGATTTTGAATGTTTAAATCTAATTTAATACCATATTTGGAATTTTATTTAATAAATATTTTTGAAGGTATAAAAAATATATGTAATAAACAAAAATTAATATTTCTACTCTTTTTGCCAGAGGAGATTTGGAATATTCCTAATAGAATAAAAAGATAAATGTTTGAGTTAATGAATATCCCAATTACTCTGATTTGATCATTACCCATTGTATACATGTATCAAAATATCACGTATACTTCAGCAAAATGTACAATCAGTATGTATGGGTTTTTAAAAATTCTCCTATTTCTATCTCATTCTCAGTAGTATCAACTTTACATTTCTCATTTCTTTTATCTACACAGTGACCTGGACAGACTTTTATGTACCTTTTAATATCTGGATTTTTCCTATATTTTTATAAATAATAAAAGTAAAATATAAAAACTATTTTAAACAAGGGCCAAAAAACCTGTTTTCAATGTTTAATTCTTTACCCTTTTCCTTACACGGAGGAACACTTTTGACTTTTTATATGTTTAGCACATTGGATGAATACTTCTAAGTATCACAATGATAAATATCTTTTTATTGCATTTATTGATTTTTCAAAGGTAAGCTTCAGCTATTTTAGCCCTGATGTCAAAGGTGTTTGTACCTTCTAGCGGTAATTTTAGTGCTTGCAAATAATATATTTAATATCTATATCTTAGTTCAATAATAATAGGTCTTTTATGTTGGCACCCCATCATACACACTGAGGAAATGTGTCCCACACCGTTTTTTTCACATCTTATCAGTCCCACCAAATTATCTCATAGATAAATTAATTATACATTGTTTTACATTAATATTTTTGTAACTTTAAGTTATGCATGATCTATTGATTTTGAAAGATACAATAATAATTATAATAATTAAAGTAAGTTAGAAAATTTCTAACTTGCAAAATGTCAACGCTGTAGTCAACCTGAATTAGAGCTTTCAGCAAACACTATGATTCACAAGCTCTTTAGCAAAGCTGTAAATATTTCTCCTGTAATAATTAAAAGGAGATAAGAATTAAGAGTCTGATGTCTGAGGATAGCAGAGAAAAACTATAAAATAAACTCAAATTACTAACCTATATTGGACAAATAATGATGACTCACAACAAAGAGGCATTCACTTTCCAGCTCTGCTTTGCATTCTCTTCAAATCTATAAGACTACTTGTTTTGAACATGAATATTAATCTATTGATTCATGGAAGTAAAATCAACTCTCTGTACTCACGGCATCTGAATTTGCAGATTCCACCAACACTGGAGAGATCATATTTGAAAAAAAATAAAAATATAACAATAAAAAATACAAAATACAGTATAATAAGTGTTTACATGGCACTTATATTGTATTGGTTATGAGTAATCTAGAGATGATTTAAAGTATACAGGATGATGTGCATAGGTTAAATGTAACTACTACAATATTTTATATAAGAGATTTGAGCATCCATGGATTTTGGTATCTGTAGGTTCCTGGAACCAATCCCCCATGGATACTGAAGGCTGACAGTACTGGCTATCACTCCATTCCTCTGCTAATTCTTCCTCCTTCATATGGTTCATTTTCAGCAGGTACATGTGCCTAAACATGTTATAATGATTATTTTAAAGATGTAAATTGGGTCACAAACAAACACGTGTCATAATAAGGAGAATACAGCATGGGTATTGACTTTCCAGCAGAAATATACCAATCCAAGTTAGATATCTTAATAGTTCTTATAAAATAATTTTCCAATCTAAACCTAGGGTACCTCAAATTTTGTAACAGTCCATAAGTCAATTATCTTGATTTCTACAACCCTTATTATCCAGTTCCAACACAGATTCTTCTCCTTTACATGTTCTAAAATGGGGCCCACTCAGCATGAGTTTATTGATCATGGGACGCCAAATTTCTCCTGTTTTCCAGAAATTTATGGAACTCCGGACAATTGCTGTCACCTCTATTCCATACGTTTTCAAAATATTCCTTTTTGTATGCAATAATTGTTACTGATGTTTTGAACCATTTGATCAGTTCATTGTCTTAAACTGGAAATGTAGGCTCCTTATTTTAAAACTGTTATTTTTGAAAGAGTCAACAGTATCCCCTGTTAGTTTAATCAAGATGTAGAAACAACTCCAATTTCTGAATATATGATCTTTTATCAATATTTTTACTAGTGTTTATCCAAATTTACACATGCATAGACATAGTTAAACATTTATGTTTGGTCTGTGTTTGTAAGTATTTCCACTGGAATTTGGAAATGGGGAAGGTTTTATTATTATTATGTTAATCTATTACTTATTAGTTACTTTTGAAGTTTTCCTCATTTACCACATCCAGTGGTCACCAGATCGTTCATTTCTAATGCAAGAAGAAATCTACAAGTAGCGTGCATTTTAAAAATCAATAAGCAAATATACTATATTATTCAAAAAATGACTTATAACTTAAAATTATTGCAGTGATAAAAGGATGAAGTCCTAAAGCTTCATGAAAATGAGTTATGATATAACTGTTTGCTACCTTTAACTTAAGGTAGCTCTAAGTCTTATGTAAAATGTGGAGAAATCATGACATAGTAAATTATTTTTAAGGAATTGTATCTGTGATATTTTGACACAGATTCTTGCGATATTGTCCAGGTTGGAGTGGAGTGGCTTTTTACAGGCACAATCATAGGAGCTACAGCTCCAAACTCCTCAACTTAAGTCTCCTGCCTCAGACTCCAGAGTAGCTGGATCTACAGGCATGCACCGCCATGCCTGGCTTGCAACATTGTAATTTTTTACTTCAATTTCAACTGTGGGTAAATGAATACAAGTACAGTGAAGGGGGTGAGATTTAATTTTCTTGATACCAAAACTAATGGTAAATGGTTTGCACTTCTAAAAAAACTTATCCTTTGGTAAATGCAGTACAAATCAATGAAACAAATATGAAAATTGCACGAAAAGAAAATAAAGAACTAAAGAAATGTTCTGTATAAATTTTGTTTAGTCATATAATGAGCGTGAAAGAAAAAAATTTTTATGCATTCTACGCTATATTAAACTCTAGATTGTTTTAAATAACCACAAATTTGACTATTATTTCTTCTAAATTAAATGTAAGTTGAATTATGAGCATGGTTAACAGTGAAATTTCAATCTGTTTTATGATGATTGATTTATATTAGTTTCATTTAAATTAAAATGAGTTATTTGAATTAAATTCAATCTTCTTTTAAAAAAATCTTCAGTATATTTCTACAGGCCAACTTGCAAATACGGAATGATAGCATTTTAACATGTTTGACTAGTCTATGAAAAATGGCTAATGAGTTCTTTCTTTGGTATATCACTGTTGAAATGGGTAATAGATTTATTTACATGTTAAAATATATGTGTTTTGGCTGTCAATGTAGTTTTACATTGTGACTTTTAAAAAAAAAGTTATAACCTTCTATATAGGGAGTTTTGTCAGAAACTTGCCTTTAAAAATTTAAACACATGCTTTTTTTTCTTTAAGGCTTACTTTAATTGGTTTGTTAAAATATGACTAATTGATTTTTATTTCTACTTACAATATTCAAATATATTGATAACATTTTCTACCTTCTAGTTCCCATTTGGTGCTTTCCCTTAATTTATTACATAACAATAGAGATCCCTCTCTTTCAAAATTGTGCTCACTTAGGTAGTTAGTTACTTTAATTTTACTTAAGCAATTTTTTAAGACTAAAGACAATAGTATCTCAGGCGTATGTTTCTAAATATTTCCTTTAATACGAATATCTCTTTTCATAGCTGTTATACATTTCCACACTTCTTTCAAGACAGTTACTGATATGACATCTGGTTTATAGCAGCATTCCGAAAATGTAGACTTTGTTCAATTGAAATAAGTGTTCTGACCTCTACCCTGCCTTTTTCAAGAGACTACTGGGTCCAAATATATCATGATTTTGATCCTTTCCCTTTTATCTGTGAATAGTGTCATCCATTCTTGATGGAAGAGGGTAATATGGACAGAGTTCATGGCTATAGTGTGCCATTACCAGAACAATATCAATTTAACACACATGTACCATCAAAAAGAACTCCATATTCTCCTACTCCCTGAAGTGATACTTATATGCTGAGATGGAAAGCTACCTAAATCAGTTAACACTGCACTGTATGCATAGATCTGCTATTTGGGCATCAGAAGAAACAATAACATATCTTTCATAGGCAATAACATGGAAAGAGAAAATGAGGTTGGATGACTTGAACACTTGAATCCCAGCTCAACGAGCAGAAGCCACAAAAAGGCTGTTTCTCTCTAAACCATTACACAACATTCTGCAAGAAATGGTATTAACTAGTAAGAAATCGTTCAAAATACAAATGTATGTCACTACATAGTTTATTAAGTTCATGGTCATTACTGGAAAACTTGGAAGAAACTTTTCAGTTTCTCTGGTGTTATCAGACACAAATATGTGGTTCTACAAAGTCATTCAAATAGATAAAATAATAATAATAAATCATTCTCTGTTTTGTTCTCATTCAGATTCCTCTAGATTCCCGCCAGTACTCCCCTCAGGGAAGTTTCCAGGGCTGTATCTGTTCATTTTGTTTGAAATCATTTTATTTTAATACATGTAGAGTTTGTTATCATAGACACCTTGTTTGCTACATATTCAGCCTTGTCATGGCTCTATTCTCATCGGATTTTCTCTTATATATGTACAAATTATATTATCACAGTGTTCAAAACTACACAATTATTAATTCAATTTTTATAAACTTCTTATACATACCAGCTGGATTAACCCCCCCCATGTGTTTCTTTGTTGTGTATAAATCCCAGTACTGCAAGACTCTTTTGCTAAGATGATTAATATTCTTACAACTTGAGTACTATTTGTGACTTCTTAAAGTACAATACAAAGAACGAAGCACACATGCAGAGATACAGATCTATGATCCACTGCATTAGCATTTCCACTTACTATCTTCTCCCATTTCTAGTTGTTCCTTCATTTTATCTCCATCTTCCTACAGCGAGAATTCTTTTACTGTCCTTTGTAACTGGTGCTTCTTATCCAGGAATTACGGTAATATCTTAAATTGTCATTTTATTTATTTATTTATGTATTTTTGAGACATAATCTCGCTCTGTCTCCCAGGCTGGAGTGCAGTGGCACGATCTCCGCTCGCTGCAACCTCTGCCTCCCGAGTTCAAGTGATTCTTCTGCCTCATCCTCCTGAGTGGCTGGGATTATAGGCGCCCGCCACCACGCCCGGCTAATTTTTGTATTTTTTTAGTAGAGAGGGTTTCAACATGTTGACCAGGCTGGTCTCAAACTCCTGAACTCAGGTGACACCACCCCCCCCACAAGCCCCCGCGCCACGGCGGCCTGGGATTACAGGCGTGAGCCACTGCGCCTGGCCTTAAGCTGTTATTTTAAACTGCTATGTTCTGCCAGTTTACCTTAACTGAAGCTTAGCTCTTCTCCAAGGAAATCTTTTTTTTTTGAAGTCCTCCTAAATGGTATTCCTTATTCCCTCTCTCTTACACCTGAGGACTGCAAGGTAGATTTGTTGTCTTACTTTCTCACTAGTCTTATTTCATGACCATTATTCCATTATCAAATTAAGAAAAAAAAAATCTATATCATCTTCTCTACCTCCACATACCTCTCTGACACTCCCTAATTTATTAAATGCTTCCAGACATGATTTGTTATGTATTTCTTCGCTCCAGGCTCAACCGTCTTTATAGATAATTTTTTTTTATTGTGGTAAGAACACTTAACATGAGATGTACCCTCAACAATTTTTTTTAGGTTTAACAGTATTGTTAACAGGCACAATATTGTACAGTAGATCTTTTAAACTTACACATCTTCTATAACTGAATCTTTATACCTGTTGAACAGCAACTTCTCATTTTTTCCTCCCACAAACCCTTGACAACCATAGTCTTATTCTGTGTTTATCAGTTTATTTCAGATTCCTCATATAACTGGAGTTAGGCAGTATTCGTCTTTCTGTAACTGGCTTATTTCACTTAGCACAGTGTCCTCCAGGTTCACCCATGCTGTCATGTAGGGCAGAATTTCCTTCTTCGTTAAAGCTGAATGATATTCCATATCATGTCTACCACATCTTATTTATATTCATCCACTTACGGATATTCAGGGTATTTTTCTGTATCTTGACTATTGTGAATAATGTGCAAGGAATATGAGAATGTGGGTTAACTCTATGAAATCCTGGTTTCAATTACTTTGGCTATATATCCAGAAGTGGGACAGCTGGATTATATGGTTGTTCTGTTTTTAGTTTTTTGAAGAAACTTACAGGGTTTTTCATAGTGGCTGCATCATTTTACATTCCCACCAACAGTGTAAAAGGGTTCCAATTTCTCCACATCCTTACCAACACTTTTTTTTTCCCTTCTTTGTAATAACAATCATCCTGATAGCTGTGAGGTGATATGTTCTTGTGGTTTTGATTTGCATTTTCCTGATGATTAGTGATGTTAAGCACCTTTTTTTTACTTGTTGCCCATTTGTATTTCTTCTTTGGAGAATTGTCTGTTCAAATTCCTTGCCCATTTTCTAATTGGGTTATTTATTGTTTGTTTTTGTTTTGCTATTGTGATGTAGCAATTTATATTTATATATATTATATTTTGGAGAGTAACTCCTGACATGATACATGGTTTTGATAATATGGTTTGCAAATATTTTCTCCCATTTCATGCACTGCATTTTTACTCTATTTTTTTTCCTGTGCAGAAGTTTTTTAGTTTTATTAAATCCCACTTCTCTATGAATGTGGCCAATGTAACACTCTTAAAAAGAAAATCCTAGAATCTGGTCAATTCCAACTCACCCACCTCTCCCATGTTACATTTCAGAAAGTTGCATCACCTTAACTTCAACGAACCGTATCTATTTATCATCTAAACTGTGACTCTCCTGAGAGTAAAAATTGGCATTATAATAAATATGCCAGGAAAATAGTCACAAATGACTACCTTCTGGGACATGATAGGATATATGGCAATCCACAATCTCTTCTCTTCATTAATCGTATATCATTGAAATACAATTTCAAATGAATATGCCATTTGAGTTAAAAAAAGAAAATAATAGAATTATATGGGCATATTAAAGGCTTACTTGAAATACATATGCGTGTGTGTCTGTATATGTGTGCACAGTAATAATGATTGGACATTCTCAGCATAAATGCCTTTTTATATGAATTTGTGTTTTAATTTTAGTAATTCATTATTTCTAATATTTTACAAAAGTATTTGGCCATAACAGAATGCAAATAAAAGACAAAATTACAAACACAAACATAATGTTTTATCACCAATAGTTTAAGCAATAATAATGTAGATAATAGACTTGCATATATTTATGGATATTTTGACATTTTTAGATTTTTATTAAAATATCACAGTTGCACATAATTTTAGGTTACATTGCAGTACCTGTGATATTTTCATACATGTATACAATGTAGAATAATCAACTCAGGGTAAATGCCCTTTTGTGAACCTGCAAATTCATATTGTCTTCTTGGGTGAATAATGGAGCTTCCTCCAATGCCTAGTTGTCATTTTCTAACAAGTTTAGAATGGACAACATAAAAGCAAAATTCAACTTTCCTCTAATGTACTGTGATAACAACTAGTAGATAAATGTTTTCATTTAGTTAATAAAGGCAAGTTAATCGTCCCTGTGAACCTACTGGATCAGGTTGATGGTATTTCTATGCCTGAAGGAAGCATTACTCTCTCTCTCAAATACCTGCTAAGCAGGCATTTTATGTTCCTGAAAGATTTGTTGGGCCCATAAGTGGAGAAACCCAGTGCTGACTTATCTGCTTTCTTTTCATCCTGTCTGAGAACTTCTGTTTTCATGCAGAGGATGCTTCCAGGTCAAAAATGCTTCCAGAAATAAAAATAAATTTGAAACTGCCCAAAAGGAAGCATACCTAGTCCCACTTTCCAAGCGAGAGATTTTTCGGAAAAAAAAATGTTTATGGACTTTCTCTCCTAGTCACGGTTTCATAGTAGGAATAAACATGCTATAGAAAGCAAGTTGTTTCTTGATAAAGGAGAAGGTGAATTTGTTAAGTCTTCCAAGAGCCCAGAGCAATTCTTCGCAGCCCTAATAAGTGTAGCTAAAGCTGACAAGAGCCAGCTGATTGTCAATCTGTTGGTGAAGGCAATGGCCTAACTATTGGGGCAGAATAGTTTTACCTTCCTTAATATCTTCAATGACATAGAGATTTGAACTCCCATGTTTTGATAAAAAAAAGAAGCTGAAGTCCAGAAATGAGACAATGATGAAGGTGATTGTATTAGTCAGGATTCTCTAGAGGGCAGAATTAATAGGATAAATGTATATGTATAAAGGGGAATTTATTAAGGAGTATTAACTCAACACAATCACAAGGTGAGGTCCCACAATAGGCTGTCTGCAAGCTGAGAATCAAGGAAGCCATTCTGAGTCCCAAAGCTGAAGAACTTGGAGTGTGATGTTCGAGAGCAGGAAACATCCAACACGGGAGAAAGATGTAGCCTGGGAGGCTAAGCCAGTCTAGTCTTTTCAGGTTCTTCTGCCTGCTTTTATTCTGGCTGCGCTGGCAGCTAATTAGATTGTGGCCACCCAGATTGAGGGTGGGTTTCCTTTCCCAGTCTGCTGACTCAAATTTAATCTCCTTTGGCAACACCCTCACAATTATACCCAGGAACAATACTTTGCATCCTTCAATGCAATCAAGTTGACACTCAGTATTAACCATCACAGTGATGAGAAGTCTGTTGGCTGTGTCACTGCTTACAAGTTTGATGAGAATGCCCAAACTACAAAATTCCCATGGTGTCTGGCATAATTGCTGGCTAGATGTGCTTAGAATGCATGAAGAAATATTCTGATCATTTGACTTGGAAAAAAAACATACTGTTTAGAATAGACCTTTAGGGATGTTTGAATTAGAAGCCATTGACAGGGAACCAGAGTATTCGTGGATAAGGAGTGGGAAGCTACTTCTGGGTGCTGGGGACCCTACCCTTCACTGTGCTAAAAGAACAGGACAAAATCAATCATGTGATTTCTTGGTAAGTGTTGTGCCAGTCTAGAGATTCTGGAAGGTAAATTCTTCCTTTTGTTTGCCTCCTGGCTCCATGCATCATCCCAAATTCAAATTAATGCTTTCTACATGTCCACTCGATTTTAGTTAATACCTTCTCCACATCAAAATTCAGCCACTGGCCTTGAGGTGGGGCACCAGGAATCATAGCATTTCAACACCTGGGTTTTGATGTGCCTGGATTTAGATCTGCATACACTTTAAAGATCCCACCGGCATTTCCTTGTGTCAATAAACTACCGTGTCTTCTGGAGGGCATGTATTTATGTTTTCTAGATTAAAAATAAGTGACTCATATAGCTGTAAATCTGTTTTAGAATCAGTTTATTTTAATCAGCTTTGTGAATAGTTAATGACATAACATGAAAACAACATAAACATAGTCGAGAATAGGGAGGGAAATAAAGTTGATAATCTAGTAAATAGTAACAATGTATAAATATTGACATATAAAATTATTTTAAAGAAATGTATTTATGCTCCGAATGTGTGATATATCTACAAACGGGACAAAAATAATTGGCATTCAACAGACTCAGAACCAAAAACAGTATATTTAATTGGACAATGTCTTTCTCCATCACTGGCTAGTGATGACTATTATTTTGCCAGGTGAATATATGTCAGTGAATGTTCACTTTCCTTTTTTGGTAATCAACTTTATTATTTCTGTCATATTACTTTTCAGGACTGAATATTCAGCCATAATACTATCATTATGACTGGTACCTTTCATTCAATAATAAAAAGAGTCTGTTGTTTCAAATTAGAACACCAGTGGAGACATTATTTTCATAGGCACAGTGAAAGTGTGATTAAATTAATCAAAACTCTCTGATTAAGAGAATACTTCCCTTGTATCAGTCTCTGATAATTACTCAAAAACCATCGTGTTGCATGATATTTTAGTTGAAAATATTGTTGCCCATGTTTTCTTAGCTGCTTCACTTTTTATGAATATATGACTATGCTTGCTGGTTTAGGATTTATAAAAATATTGCAGATTACTTATGCCTACAACCAATCTGTGTTTAAGTGAAGTGTCTGCTATACGTCTCAATTATGTATTTGTATAACCAAGGGCATGCTAGAAGTCCTCAGTAAGAGGACTAAGAAAAAAATGCTATATATTTGTTTTCACTTTTAAAGGAAAATAAGAAACCTACAAAAACCCTGGAAATCTCTTACCCACATTAACAGGAGAGCAAATAACTCCTTTTGTAGTGGAACATAATTATCTCTGCTTCAGAGCTTACAGGAAATGATTTCACAGACTAAAAATAAGTATTATCTTGTTAAATATTTTCCTATTTTTAAAGCTCTCATCATATGAAGAACTAGTGTAAAATATATAATTTTTATTTAAAATGTGCTTTAAATATGCCAGTAATCCTACGCATACATTTTTCCGAAGGCCTCTTACCTTAATGAGAAAATAGGAGCTGTCAAACGAATCTTGTTCATTATCACACTTCAAATCATCAACCTAGGCTTTTGTAGTGATAATATGTATGTTTATATTTTTACAAAGTGATGTGTTTACTATGGTCTTATTGTTCTTATGTAAGGACAACACATTCATTAAATTATTTTTTGTTTTCCACACTCTATACCTTTTGCAAAAACTTGACTTCAGCATTTCGACCCCCCCCCCCACTGTCATTAATTCCCAATGGCCATTTTCACTGGAAAATTCCCATCAGCAACATATAAATATGCTCTAGCTGTTCTCAGAGGAAATAGCAAGCAAAGACTCAAATACACCCTACTCTGGCTGCCATTCCATTTCTGTCTTTCCATTCATGGCAGGGGAAATAGCACTTCTACTTAATCACTTGTCTCAGATTCTCTCTGGAAGCCCTTTCACCCCTCGTAACTGTATGAAAACTGCTTTTGCATGATTTCTATACCAAATGCAATCGTCTTTTTTCTGGGCTCTTATTGCATATCTTCTAATTAGCATTTGAGCTCTTGATTTGAAAGCACTCTCCATTATTGGCTTTTGTGATAACTCTTGATTGAAATAGATCATTTGAACATTAAATTATTTAACATCCTTGGAGTCATATATTATTTAGCTGAAGATCATACCTGAAGATTTGAGTATAACAATATTGTAGCTTCTCACCACGGTGATTAATTACAAAACAATCAGCAGACACAGCCCTCTTTTCCTAGCACACATTTATCAATGACTATATTTCCAGTTACGGCCTTTAATTACAGTAGGTGGAGACTAGATTAAATTGAAACTATAAACTCTACTGGGCTCAGAGAGGTTTACTTATATTCTTAGGGCTGATATGCACAGGTGATGTATTAAGAGAGATATGTAAATTACCACGAGAATCCATCCATACTCCCAGAATTCTATAAATCATTCATTATAAGACAAAATAAACATTAACTTCATATTATATGATATATAAATGCAAAGTAAATTTGATATATGCTTATTAAAATTAATTTCTCAAAAATTCCTATCACGCTAAAATATGTTAAAATACATAAATTGGTTAGAATTATGAAAATTATAACAGTTTCGAAGAAAAGCAAAAGGACAAAGTAATCAGACTCAGCCAGATAAATGGTAGGAAGGTAAATTCATAATTTCCAATAAATAACTTGCCTATCAGAATAACCTTAGAAATAAGTTGATGAAGATGGAAGTGATGGAGAAAATACTAAGTGGATGAGTACCCCAGCTTTTTTATTTTCAGGTAAGAAAGCTCTGAGACAAGCACTACACAGTCTCCCAGAGGTTTCTAGTTATACAGTTACAACCTATTCTCTGATGCAATTTGCATTGCCTTCCACCGGCTGCTCACTTTCCCATTCACTCAACATTGTTTGCAGGAATTACCTCCTAAATGAATTACTTGCAACCAAGTTCTGCTTCCACTTAGAAGGTGGAAAGCCGCAAGTAGACATTGCTTCCACCCTAAAGCAAACAAACAAACAAAAGGCAACAGGGTAGTCAACAGAATCCTAACATTTCTCAAGTGCATCAGTCAGGAAGCTGTGGTTCCAAGGTTACCAGGTGAACCAAGGTGCCAAGCCTCTCCAAGAAACACAAGGTGGAGCATGGTACCAAGGACTTTGTGTTTCTTTCTTTAGAGTTTCATGCTCTAGAAATGTGAAAGAAGAAAACAATGAAAACTTTACAAATTCTTCAGGGTCAAATGTTGTCAAGTAAGAGAGCGTAGTGGGAGCCTCAGACATAATGGAGTTTACACTAACTTGTGAGGTCTTTTTCACCTCTAGATACTCATGAGATAAACTACATGCAGGGCAAAGAGCTGAGAGAGGAACCTTTGGTTGGACAAAGGCACAAAACTGACAAACGTGGACAGTGACATGAAGCCCTGACCATGTTCTGGAACTTTTCTCTCAGAAAAGTAAACGCCATAAACAGCTCCATTATGGGCAGGAAACAGTTCTGCTCCCAGCGTTGTAGAATAAGTCCACTGCCTCTAGGTAGAAGTAGAAGCAATCTACCTCTGGGGGAAGAGATAACAAACTACCTCTGCTGTCACAACAAGCTTTGCACAAACAAATAAGCAATATCACTGGGAAAGAAGCAGGATACTACCATCTTGGACCTAGTCTCAGGCAATGGTGCACTGCCTCTGAGGGAGGAATAGACCCAAAACCTGGCAGTCTCTGGTGGAGAGCAAGAAGCCTACTGGGGTTGATTGATTCAAAGCACTGATTCAAAGCGAGATCAGTATTGTCATGGTAAGTTGTGAAAACTGTTCCTGCCCAAGGCTCTCTCAGACACAAGGCAGATAATGGCTGTCATAAGTCACACTGAAAAAGCTCCATTTGTAAAGGCCAAGTCAATGAGGCTGACGAAGTGGAAGACAGAACCAACCCTACCTCCACTTTGACACCTGCACCCATTAACAGAAATGACAGTCTACTGTTTATTGTGGAAGGGACAAAATGATATATAAACACTCTCTGTGGCACAGGCTTGTTCAGAAATTACGGAAAGCGGAAAGTAGATTAGGAACACAAAAATCTCTTCAGCACCCCAGACCCCACATCCAGTATATGGTACCAGCTGACCAAGATGAAAGGAAATTGACATCTCAGTATAAAGGTAATAAATGTAGCCACAACAAAACCCAAACCCAACTCAACTCCTGACAACAGTGACTAAATACTTTACAATTACGACTTGACAAAAGAAAGGACAGACCCATTTCAAAACATAAATGTTTACCTCATTCTCCACTGTTCATTTGCACATAATTTTCATTCTAAAATCTAAGATGTGTTACATAAAAAAGTTAGAAAAAATAGCCATTGTTAAAAGATAAAGTAGTCAGCACATCCAGACCTTGAAATTATCTAAATGCTGCAACCATCAGACAGAAAGATGGATTTATATGTTAATGCTAGTGATGACTTCAATAAGTACGTCTATAGGAGCTGTTGTTGAAGAAATGACTGTAGTTTCTATTTTGAGCATGTTAAGTTTAAAGTAAGCATGTGAATATTCCTACAGGCTATTGCTAATATGGGACTTGATTACAGAGACATGAGCAAAAATACAGAAGACTTAGACTATATAAGCATCTGTACAGAAAAATCTTAGAGTATGTGATTTCTAGGGGATAGCTTTAAAATGATTTTTTTAATGAGACAACTTAAAAAACATTTATATTTAGGATGTGAATACTTCACAAATGAAACTGAAATCCAGTTTGTTATCAGTTTAGAATAAAAATCAACTGAAAGATTCTATTACAGATTACAAAGGAGGAAAGAATTTCAAACAGAGCACGTGAATGGAAGACGACACAAAACCAAACCAAAAAAAGAAAAAAAAATACAAGGCAATGAGATGTGCCAAACATTGAGTCCCTGTGTTTTTCTAGGTAGTGGTTTTACTAAACTGATGGTAGAGCAGGTGAAAATTAAAATATATTTTACACTAAACATTTGGAATAAAAAGATTTTTAGGGACTTATTTTATGACTTAATATTTAATACATTATAAATACACATAAAAGCAATATTGATAATATGTTCATAACTATATACTCTAATTATTGAATTCACTTTAGTTTAATGAGAAAAGTAAAAATTTTATATCAATAAAAATAAATACTGAGGAGCAACAAATTGTGCATACAATTATTCTTGTTATTTAGAATAAATGACAAAATGGCATCCTTAAGTCCTGGTAAGGGTAATTTAATAAAAAAATCAATGTCTTGGTCGGGCATGGTGGCTCATGCCTGCAATCCCAGTACTTTGGGAGGCCGAAGTAGGCAGATCACCTGTGGTCAGGAGATTGAGATCAGCCTGGACAATATGGTAAAACCTGTCTCTACTAAAAATACAAAAATTAGCCAGGTGTGGTGATGCACGCCTGTAATCCTACCTACTCAGGAGGCAGAGGCAAGAGAATCCCTTGAACCCAGGAGGTGTAGGTTGCAGTGAGCTGAGATGGAGCCACTGTAATCCAGCGTGGGTAACAGAGTAAGACTCTGTTTCAAAAAAAAAAAATTCAATAATATATACAGATAAAAATCAGCAAAACAAAAGAATATTAAATAAATCAAAGCTGCATCATTGTATGCTCAATAAAAAACAGGAACAATAATATTTTACTAATAATATTAAACAGTTTATATTTTAATTCACAAGTAAAAACTACATTTCAATTCTGTCATTTATTTTTAAATTAGCATTTGTGTATAGAATATCATGTTTAAAAATATTTATTTATATTTTAGTAAAATGCAAATTAGGTGGAAAATTATATGTATGTATATACTCATACACATGTAAGTGTGTTTGTGTTTATTTGATCTTTCTTCTAAAATTGCAATGGAGAATATTGCGGAGTAAGCAATATTCTTATTTTGATTGCTCTAAGTTAAATAATTACCATTTTCAGATATTTCATCAGAAGTAAAATTAAAACATTGTTATTTATACTGCCTTTCTTTTCCTGAGCATCAATAAAATATTCACGTTTCTAGTACCATTCAGGGCCAGATTTATTGTTAATCTGTCCACCATAACTATTTATTGATATTGTTTCCGAAATAATAGACATATTTCTTCTTTATATAACCCAAAACACGGATATATAATAAGTAGTTTAAAATTAATATTCACTGATTAACTTATATTTCTACCATTTATGTTGCCAAACATGCTACAAGCAAATACACTCTAATAGAGAAAGTTTTATTCCATTTTTATCAGTTTCTATTTAGATATAGACTATTTTGTGATAGAAGTTGTCACCATACTTTGGGAATCCATGATAAAACCGTATTGTTTAAAAGTCTAAGAGTAAAACCATTGTCCATATGGTTTTAAAATTTTAAACAGGTTTAAAACAACATTGTAAGCAAATCTAAAACAACATTTTGAACAAATTTCCACTGGGAAAGAGAATCTAGCACATTAGAAGTCTGTTTTTATCTTGAAATTTAGAAAATTTTCTGCTATTAGTAAAATGCAGTTGGAATGAGAAAATTCACATTATTTGCAAATTTCATTACACGAAACACTACAGAAGTATCAACATAATCGAGTAAATCACATGGTTAACTCACAACCTCAACTGTGCCTGTGGCAGAAATGAGAGACTCATTTTCAAACTATATAAAATTTGCTTCACATATATTCAGCAATCCCCTAAATTTTTTTCAGTATGTTGGTATTGATTGTTTTCCTGAGATTTTAAACCAATTAAGAAGGAAAAATTTTATGCATATTATTTTTAAAGAGAGAAAATTGATATTAGTTCATAAATTTAAAATTCAACATGGTAATATACCATAATGATAATAAAAGCTCATTTTTCCTTTGGTTTATTTTATGTCTTTTTTAACCATTAGAAGCATAGTGCTTTATATGTCTGTTTCTGAGGCAAAACTATAGTATATTCAGCAAATTTTAATTAAGATTTAGAGAAGAAAATCCATGAAAACTTAAAACCTTGGCAAAACATTATTTAAGATTCAGAACACATATTTTAAAATTTTATTTTTGATAATAGCACATAAAAAGTCTCATATCATACTTACATGGTTTTAGGCACATGAGTATCAAGACCTACTTTTGTAAACTCTTGGAAAACACATTTGTGAAGTAACATTATGTCCTTCTTAAAGTCCTGTAATCCCTTGACTGATACATGATTTGTACATCTATCTTTCAGGCCCTCCTACACAATCTAAAGTATATAAGCTCCGCTTTTTTTCAAAAAAATGTCCATACCTGCTAATTGCTTCCTGAGTAGGTTTTGTTGTTATTTCAATGAAAGGTATATTTAGCAAACAGATTTAGCCAGCAGCAGATAAAACAATTAGTACAAAGATCTTTTGTGAAAGAAGGGGCTGGCAGTACACCCGCAGCGAAGGCTGAATTTGTAATTTAGAAAACAGATTTAGCAAGTGGCAGATACAACAATTAGTCTAAAAATCTTTTTGTGAGAGAAATAGCTCACAGAATAGAAAGAGGGAAGACACATTTGCATAAAAATGATATGTCAATTCCACTAAAAAGCAAATCATTTTCCATGTTTTAACCTATTCTTTTCCTTATTATTTTCTTTTTTCTCATATATTATAGGTGGTCAAGGCAAAAGACTATTCAGAAATCATGAAATAAGTATTATCGTCTCATCTGATAGGACCACTAAATTTTTAAAGAATAATCACTGCCTTTCCCTGGGTCACAGTATGTACTAGATTGTGGAAGGGGATGAACCCTTTTCGCTTTTCTCTACTGATTTATGCTTTGTTATTCATAGTTTGGACTTCACAAATAGAATTGACAGTTAATAAAAAATGTAGAAACGCAAACTAATGTGGCCTTTCAATAAGAGTAACTTTACAGGATATCATTCGTTATTAGATTCCCAATATAGAAGAAAGGAAATAATATAATTAAAATGTAATAATAAATTATATATATAATTTATATATAATATATAATTTATGCAGATATAATAAAAATAATAAATAGTATAATATAAATATAAACAAAATAATGTAAATAGATTACAGAATGAACTCACAGTAGGTCTCATTGGAGTCTATTAGCTTCAAATTTCTTCCTCTTACTTAAGAAAGGATGCCAATAGTGTGGACACTGGATCCTCAAGGCTAGGCCCTGTGCAACTCCTAAATCAAACTGTTGTCAAGGGATCTATAATAAAAACCAATGGGGTTAATTAAAACAACAGAAACTGTTGCTTCTGTTCAGCAACGGAAGACCTTACTTGTTGAGGTTGAGCTGCCCTTGATGAAAAGTCATTAAAAGCCCTAAAGAACCCACAACTATTGCCAGGGACCTTTCTTGACATTTACAGTTATAAAGTTCTTGGGGCTTACACGGTTTTAAATAATTTAATGATTTCAGAGATACCATGTCAGTCATTTAGGTTTAGAACTCATTTGTGTACATTTGATGTAGACAACCACTTGTGTGTTGGCCATAGTGTTTAACCATCAAGCCTCATGGATAGTTCTGCAACTATTTCACTCTAAGCTTGTTCCAGCTCATGGACAATGGGAAAAAGCTCATAGACCCAGACTGTTTATTAAATTGATATTACACACATATTTATATTTAATTTTTATTTATGTAACTCTACAGGTGAAATCTACTTAATTTACTCAATTCAGAAAAACGCTTTGTACAAAATGCACATTCTTATTCATTTCTCAATTTCTGTTTGTTACTCATACTCACTCTGGCATTTTACTTATTGTTGTTCAATGTTACTGTTTTCTGTGTTTGTTTAGTTCTTCATTACTCTCAAAGGAGTTGACAACTATTTTATATAATGGGCTTTGCAGGCAATATGGTCTGTTGCAACTACTACAATTTTGCCATTGTAGTGTGAAAGGCATCTGAGATAATAGGCATGTAACTGGGCGTGTTGAATCAAGTTTCAATAAAACTTGATTTACAAAACCAGGGATCAGACATGATCTGGCTTATACTAGCCATAGTTAGTCAATCCTTGCTTTAGGGAACCATCAATCAGTGTTAACTTGCATACATTCACTCATGATGTTCATGCTGGCGGAAACCTGATTGGCTATGCACTTAGACAATAATTGCTCACTATAAGGCAACCCATGAAATATGAATTTAGTGTTGAATAATAAAATATCTAAAAAACCAGTATTTTTAATTTAGTGAAAAATCTTCTAAGGCTTCCTGTACTCTGTCATAGTGAAACATATAATTTTATTTATAAAATGATTGATACATTTTAAATTTTACATTTAATGTGTGATGTCATATATTATATATTACATATTTATATATAACAATTTCAAACTGTTTTCATTTTTAATGATTATAAATATAACTTCATACACTTTGGAATAAGGATATTGAAAATAAAAGAAATTGAAGTACTAAATTAACCTACCTCCATATTTCACAAATAGGAAACTGATACCAAGAATGCCATATATTTTATTATTCTAAGGAAAACAAGATTGGGATATGATTTATTTGATTATGAATTATTATTTTTAAAATTTTTGCAAAATTTGTTATTTCTTTTCCCAGTTAATTGATTGATCGGATTCTGACACAGCACAAATTCTGTCAGCAGCCTAAACGATCAAATATTCTACGTATTACATAAACCCCAGTTGTGATGGTTAATATTGAGCATCAACTTGATTGGATTGAGAGATGCAAAGTATTGTTCCTGGGTCTGTGAGGGTGTTGCCAAAGGAGATTAACATTTAAGTCAATGGACTGGAAGAGGCAGACCCACCCTCAATCTGGGTGGGCGTCATCTAATCAGCTGCCAGCATCGCTAGAAAAAAGCAGGCAGGAGAAGATGAAAGAACAGGCTTATTGAATCTTCTGGCCTTCATCTTTCTCTCATGCTGGATGTTTCTTGCCTTTGAACATCAGACTCCAAGTTCTTCAGCTTTAGGACTCTTTGCCTTACACTAGTGGTTTGCCAGAAACTCTTGGACCTTTGGCCACAGACTGAAGGCTGCACTGTTGGCTTCCCTACTTTTAAGGTTTTGGGACTTGTACTGATCCATCACTGGCTTTTTTGCTCTTCAACTTTCAGATGACATATCATGGGACTGTACTTTGTGATCATGTGAGTCAATTCTCCTTAATAAACTCCCTTTCACATATACATATATCCTATTAGTTCTGTTCCTCTAGAGAACCCTAACTAGTATACCAGTAATATAGTTTCTTTCTTTATTTAAATTTAAACATCATGGCTTACATTTTAATATAAATATTATTTATAAAATTAATGATCATTAAATAGAGATAAGTATATGTTGCACTTTTACAGCTTAAATCCTAGCAATAGGTTATTTTTCTTTAGTAAGATCATAAACTGAAATTGCTTCTAATACAGCAAAATACTCCAGTTGTGGTCTATCTATTGTTTAGACAGTAATATGGATTTTTTTGTAATTAAAATATCTACCTATTAAGTTTTAGAGGGTTAGATTTGTCTTCCAAAAATGGCGGAGACCATCAGTAGATAGTTTGACATCGATCATATTAATTAACATTGAAAATAAATCAGCTAATTCAGCATTTCCATAATCAATATATTAAAAAATATATAACAAATTGTCCTTGAGATCAAAAAATTAAAATTTAACACTAATAAATACAACCCAAAACATGTGTCATTTAATTTAATTCAATAGCTGAGCTATTTGATTTAAAATATGCATAATGAACTGGTAGAGTTCCCAGATTCCCCTCACAGGACGTGCAACAGGGGTGTGGCTCACCTGTTGGGTTGCCCTGAATCTCAAACCCTGAGGGAAGGGGGAGTATGCAGATGGATAGATGCCAAAGCCCAAGTAGGTGTGTGTTTCAAGCCTTGCTGCCCGCGGGTGGGTAAGTATTAACCACCTCCCGCCCAGATTTTTGTCCAGCATCCTGGACGACTCAGCTCACATGAACTGTTTGAAAGGTGATGAATGTGGAGACTTTATTAAGTAGTGGAGGTGGCTTTAGGGATCTGGAGTGGGAAGGTGGAGTTGCGGGGAGATAATCTTCCTCAAGAATGGCTGAACTTCCCTCGACCTTCAAACACTTCTTCTCTCCTTCCTCTGCCACTGTTTGCCATTCCCTGATGCTCTGTTCCTCTGCTCCTCTTGGTGTTCAGTCACTTGTGTGTATGCCTGCTAAGGTCTCGGGTTTATACCGGCACAGTATGGGGCGCTTGGCAGGCCAGAGTGGTCTTGGAAAATGCAACATTCAGACGTGAAAACAGGAGTGCCTGTCTTCACTTAGGTCCGCAGGCACAGGCCCGAGGGTGGCGCTCTCACCAGAGACTCTTACCTTCTCTACCCAGCACTTCCCTGCCCTCCTCCCGTATCATTTCCTCCCTCTGAAGAGGCACACCTAACTGCTGTTAGAATATAGACAACGACCGGTCTTAGCTACTTCATGTTGACAGGGAACGTTGTTTTGGGGAAAAGGGAAGTCAGATTCCTTCCAGAGTTCTACCTAAGGGTTCTTGGCAAAGGGGAGCCATTGTCCGAGGCTCCGGTTACCTGACCGTTTGGAGTTCGATAGCCTCTCGGTGTGAGAGAAGAAACAAAACAAATTTTTATAAAGTTACGTATGCATAGGTTAAACATGCGTCTTGGACAAGGAAAGAATTTAGTGCCAACAATTACAGAAATAAGAAGTGAAATATATTAATTATTCTGAAAACACTGTCGTGCCCCGTGATACAGAACAGAACAAAGGTAAGAACAGCAAGCATAGCCAAGACTATATAGAGGATGTCCATGGAAGGTTAATTATTAACACTTATCTTTTGTGATTTTTAGCTCGAGGTCCCTGATCTCTTCACGTTGGTACTTTGGGTACTCTTCTGGGTTGACAGAAGTGGCTCCATCCATTTCCCAGGCCTTTACTTGGGTATAATAAATTCAAGAATCCATTCCAGTGACCTACTATAAAAGACCGAGGTGACCACTTTCAGAAGGTTCTCTAAAGTACTATCTGGTCCCAGGGCCTGTTCCCTCAACTTCCTCCTGATATCAGGGGCTGCCTGAATAATAAACTTATTCTTTAAGATTAGTTGTCCCTCGATGGAATCAGGAGACAGAGAGGTGTGCATTACCAAGCCTTCTCTTAGCCATTCCAAGAAGGCAGTGGGATTTTCATCAAATCCCTGATCGATCATGGACAATTTAGCATAATTGGGAGGCTTGATCCTGGTCTTAAGACCCCGATTATGCATACCTAGAAGTGTCTCCTATTCCAGTCTCTCATCTCATCATTGGGATCCCATCCAGGGTCATTCACTGGTACTGCTTCTCTACCAGTTAGATAATGTTCACCGTCTTCCCTGATGCTATATGTTATACAAAGCTCCTCCCCAAATCTCCCTGTCACTTGCAAAGTGGCTTGCTTCTCAGTATGCATCAGAGTCTGATTCACAAGTAACATAATATCTCTCCAGGAGAGTTCAGATCTTTGGGTGAAATTCTGGAAAGCCTCTATATATCTGTGAGGGTCCTCTACAAACTTGTCAATAGCCCCCTTAATTTGCTTTAAGTCCTATAAAGAGAAGGGGTCTGGACCTTACTGGGGCCAAATTCACCAGGCACTTGTTGCAGAGGCAAGAGTAAGACTGGGGCTTGTCTAGGGTGAGAATTTCTTGGAGGGGAAATGTGAGAGGCTGAAGCTGGATAGGGAAGTTGGGGAGGACCTGAAGGAGCAGGGTTGGAGGGAGCTGGCTCCTCTTCTGGGGGAACCTCTGGGGTTTCTTTCTTTAGTTGCTTGAGATTGCCCCTGGTAGCCTCTCCCGAAGTGGCAAACAGGAGGGCTGGATCAATCCTACACTGTTGGCAAAGATCAGGATTGCCCTGCAAGATATAGAAAGCCTGCACATATGGGTCCTCAGACCACTAGTCCTCATGTTTACAGAAAAGGTCCAATTGCAGGATGGTATTGAAATAAATGGTTCCTTCCTGAGGCCAAGCCAGTCCTTGCTATAAATCATAATTTGGCCAAATCTTTGTACAGAGGACTATGAGACATTTTTTTTCCTCCAGATTCTGAGGGTCAAAGCAGTTCCAATGGTTTAGAATACATTCCAGAAGAGTACAAGCTGGGGGTGGTGAAGAGAGCTGGTTACTCATTCCGAAAGATAGGCTATAGAGCCGTCCCTCACTTCCCTTCCTTCTTTCAGCGAACCTCGGGGTGTGGAGAGAGAAAACAAGTGCCCTCCCTTTCTCTTCCATCTTTTTATCCCTGTGTCCAGGTGACCTTGGCAGGTACTGCTCATGGGTGCCAATGCAGCATGCACCCATAAAACAGGGAAAGCGTAGAGAACAGGAATTTTCTGACCTTACCTTCGCCTCCATCTTTCCCTGCTGTTGACAACCTTTGAGTTTCCTAGGTCTCATTTACGCCACAGAGCATGGCCTGTTTCCGTGGGGTGGGGGCTTTGGTCAGCAGGAATTGGTCCTGTCCATTTACATTGTGCCTATTGCCTGGCTTTGGATCCCTCAGATCTGGTTTTCCTTTCTAGGGCCTCAGCCTGAAGCTTGTAATCAAGTTTGGGACTCAAAAGTATTTCAAGTGGCTGCATGAATCAACTATCTCAAATGAGCCCCGCTAAATTTGCAGTTATCAGCCAGTAGGGGTCGCTTCTCCATTAACTTCCCTAACAGAAGCAGCGTGCTGGGGAAGAAAACCTCTTGGAAAAGGAAAACAAGAGAAAACAGTTTAAGGAACAAAAGGGGAAGGTCCTGGGGGAAGAACCCCTTGCTCAGCGCAAATGTGTCTCCTTAATCATTGTATGCTTCCCCTCTGTTCAGACAGAGCTGAATTCCTTGGCCAGAGTAGAGTTCCACTGGCACACCGGGCAGCAAGCGCCAGCCAGCCAACCGTGCAGGCTCCCAGTGGCAGCTGTGGTTTTTCCCCCGCCCGTCGTGGCCGTTGCCGTGGCCATTTCATCTGGGGGCTCCATCTGGGATATTCATCAGAAGGGTGAGTTGAAATGGAAAACTGTCGGATCTGTCTCTTTTCCAAGACCCTGCCACCTCTCTCTTTCATGCTCTGTTTCCTTTCGGGGAGGTCTAACTACCACATGGGTCGGGAGTAAAGCCCCGGGGCAACTGAAGGCATCTTTTGCTGGAAGGCCCCAAGGGTGAGCTCCATTGGTCAAGAACCCCAGACTTCCTTTGGTGTCTTGTCTTCTCTCATGGTTTGAAATGGTTCTGATCTTTCCTTTATAATGCTAAGCGTTTTGCTACAGATTACGGCTGTAATACTAAATAGAATGAGCATTTGGCTCAGCCATCAAAGGTGCAAATCAGAACAACATGGTTCTGTTTCCACCCCCACATCCACAGGCACTCAGGGAACTTGACAAATTCATGCCCTGTCCCCTCCCAGCTTGGGAACCTGGTCATGTTCACTGCATGCAAAAGCCATGTTCACTGGTCACGAGGGGCGGGAGAAAAACCACGGCTCTCACAGTAATTTGTTACAGACAACAGAAAAGCAATAGGGAAATAATACATTAACATTATTTAATCTGCATATCTCTGTAGGTGTATCAATCTCTTTCTATATATGTATAATTATAATACATATATCTATGCATCTTCCAAAATGATTTAAAAGTGTCTTGAATCAAAAACTATTTTATTTTTTGAGACAAAGTCTCACTATGTCACCCAGGCTTAAGTGCGGTGGCGTGATCACACCTCACTGCAGCCTGGACCTCCACGCCTCAAGCAATTCTCCTACCTCAGCCTCTTCAGTAGCTGGGACTATGGAAGTTCATCAGCACACCAGGTGAAGTTTTTGGAAATTTTTTCATAGAGGTGAGATCTCATTATGTTGCCCAGGCTGGTCTCTAACCCCTGGGCTCAAGTGATTCTCCTGCCTTGGCCTTCCAAAATGCTAGGATTTCAGGCATGGGCCACGGCACCCCAAAAACTGATTTTAATTTGGTACATTTTATATGCCAGGCATGTCCTGAGTAGCTACTTATGATAGAAGTTAAGCTACGGGTAAATGTAAATGACCATTTACATTCAAGTAAGCATAACTTGATTGATTTATTTGGAGTAAGTGGTACACTTATTCCAAAGAAAGAGAGTGAATAGTAGAATTTAAACTAGAATTGGGGAAATGTCACATCACTATTCACCATAAGCACTAATTTAGAAGTTTCCACTTTCCCTTGAAGGCTATTGAGGGTTATTAAATAATTTTATGATCAAATAATATAAAATGAAAAAAGTAGATACAAGTAGAAAGCTTAAGTGGAAAAACAGTCTTCTTCATTCAAAGGGTCGTATTGCTATTTATTGGCGTCACTAGAGTAAAATATTCCGTGAGGTGTATTAAAAATCTTGTTAAATTGAAATTTGACATAGCATTTTATAAAATATAAAAATTTAAATATGGTAGTTCTCTAGGGAGTTTATATCGGAGATGCAAAACCCATTTACCTTTAAAGGAAATCTTAGAAGCTGCTAATGTAGCTATGGTTTATAATATTATATGTCTGTTTTGCTCACCAGTCTATCAGGTAATTCTTCAAGCAGCAGACCCCTGTAATGACCAAGGATTCCTGGCCCCAAAAACACCAGACAGTACATGCAAACTTATGAAATATCATAGGCTTTCTCTGTTATAGCTGACAAGTGGGATCTCAACCCACTACACCTAACTTTGGTGTTTATTCAATTCCTTACTCATACTTTATGTATGAGTGTGATTAAATGCCTGCTAATTACATGGAGTATTTTTAAAATCAGGAGCTCCTTCTATTTATGAACAGAAATGCTGTATGCAAAACCAATGAAAGTAAGATTTGGCGGTTCTCATTTTCACATGACTTTGTATAAACCCATATGAAAACTGAATAAACAGAACTGTACCTTTACTTAATGAGGACTCTAGTCTCATATTATTTATGTCTGCCTCCTGATCTGCCATGCAAAAGGTAAGGTCACAGGAAATGGGTGATATTTTATGGTCATTATATATTGAATATGTTTGTTAAGGGGTCCAGGATAAGCTTTTATATGGTCATGCCAAATAAAGGCACAACTCTGTAATTAGATTTAACAAATCAATCAGTGAAAAGATTGGAAAAGAGACTCTGAGCTAATTTGCTCACTTTAAAATAAGGTATTTTGTTAATTGAATAAATCTAACCAGGTGCAGGATTTTGAACTGTGATTAATTTTAAAAAGAGAGTGATATAAATAGAACATTTAAGAGGTAACAGGGAACAAATATCTTCAAAAAGAAGAAATTTTAACGTGAAAATGTGAAACTATAATACTTTGGGAAACAATAACAATTTTGTAATTCACTGAGTTACAATTTTGGGCCCTCAGCTCATTTCTCCGAGGAGAACTAAACTCACCTACAAGAATAGGTTTAGCAACATAAACTGGTCTTATTGAAAATTCTTTATTTTTTACACATTTAACTGATTTTCCACATCTAATTAATAAAAGATTTTCAATGGAATCTTCAGATTCAGATGTTTTTGGACTAGTGATGATAAAGGATATTATCTGGGTTTCCTACATTGTCAAGTTTTGCTTAATTTTTTTGTATTTCTTTCTCTGCCACTAATGAAATCTGTTCTCTGTATGCCTTAAGATTTGATAAGTCCTTAGTAACATACCAAATGTTTACAATATTGCATGTGTTCAAGATTTGTTATTTTAAGAAGTTGAATGATTGCATGAGATTTAGTAAACAGGGAAATCGTTTCTGAATATTTACAATAAAATGACCAGGAAGTCAAATCTGGCAAACATGTTTTTGATGATTTTGTATCACTTATAACAAATACATTATAGAAAAAATTAGCAAGTGAATTAAAAGTTACATAACATCCAATTTTTCTGGTGATTTCATGTGTGTGTGGGTTTTGTTTGTTTGTTTTGAGACAGGGTCTCACTCTGTCACCAAGGCTGGAGTGCAGTGGTGTGACCTAAGGTTACTGTAACCTCCACTTCCTGGGCTCAAGTGATTCTCTAGCCTCAGCCTCTCTAGTAGTTGGGACCACAGGCTCTTGTCACCACATCTGGCTACTTTTTGAATTTTTGTAGAGACAGGGTGATATGATAAGACTTTACGTCCCCACGCAAATCTCATCTTGAATTGTAATCCCCATAATCCCCACATGTCAAGGGAGAGACCAGGTGAAGGTAACTGAATCATGGGGACAGTTTCCTGTATGCTGTCCTTATGCTGGCCTTGTGATAATAAGTGAGTTCTCATGAACTCTGATGGTTTTATAAGGGGCTCTTCTCCCTTTGCTCGGCTAGTCTCCTTCCTGCTGCCTTATAAAGAAGGTGCCTTGTTTCCCCTTAGCCTTCTGCCATGATTGTAAGTTTCCTGAGCCTCCTGACCCATGCTGAACTGTGAGTCAATTAAACCTCTTTCCTTTATAAATAACCCAGTCTCAGGCAGTGCTTTATAGCAGTGGGAAAATGAATTAATAAACAGAGTTTTGGCACTTTGGCCAGGCTGTTTTTGAACTCCTGAGCTCAAAGCGATTCTCTTGCCTCGGCCTCCCACGTACTGGGATTACAGGCATGAGCCACCTCACCCAGCCAAATTTATGTTGAACACTGAATTTATAGTTTTTGTATTAGTTTTCTATAATCCCCACTCACTCAACTTCAACATCTATACCCAGGCAGTGTTGAAATGCATTAAGTCCTCGCATAACATCGTCCATAGTTTTTGGAAACCACAAATTTAAGCAAAACGATGTGTAAGAAAACCAATTGTACCATAGGTTAATAGATATAAACAAGAGTTAAGATCCTACAGCATGTTTGTTGTCACAAAAACATCTCCAAACTTCTAAATAAATACCTCCAGCCCTCCTAATATAAAGTGTAAAATAAATGTGAGCTATATATATATATAAGAAAGATTAATACAAACAAGTATGATAATTATTTACCCAGTGTTCAGTGAATCAGTCAGTGACTGTGGTTTTAGTGGTGGTGGGTTAAAACCAAGAATAAATGTTTGGAAAATGAAAATTATCAGGAGCATCTCCATCCAGCACTCAATTCAAAAATAATCACAAACATGGTGCGTTCACTGTGTGCTTTGATTCCACCTTGTTTATTAAAGTGCACTTGTGTAATTATAATCTACTTTACAAATTTTTATTTTACAATCATTTATACGCATCATTCCTTTATTCAGTCCACTTATTCTGCTTCAGGGTCACAGGTCGCAGGAGCCTCTCCCAACAGCTCAGGGCACAAGGTGGAAACCAGCATTGGACAAGACATCATCTTATCTCAGGTACACACACACAGACATTCACTCCTCCTGGGATGATGTAGACATACCAATTCACTTAAAGTGTACACCTTTGGGATGTGGGAGAAAACCCAATTACTTGGAGATATTTGAGAACCTGCTATATAAACTCTTCTTATGCTACATAAAATAGGTAATACCTAGAATTTATCAAAATTAACTCTAACTAGATATTAATTTAGTCATTTCTAAAGTCTTAGTGGGTTGCATAAAGCAGTGCTGTCAACTGGTGATATAAAGAAAGTTTTAGGCCATACTCCCTTTCCCACTGTCACCAGTGGTATCAATTTTGTCTACATTTTTTCTCTCTGGCATGTTTCTGCAGTTTTCCTTCTATTAACTTCTTTTCTCTTCAAGACTGCCCATAGTCATTAACAAACATGTTCTTATTGCGGAAATAGAAGAAAGATAAATATGCAGTGTGATCTCTACCGCTTAATCAAATATTTGTCATTATTCAGGGTACTTGGAGACATTTTCAGCTGTTGAAACAGCTGCAAACTTAGGGATTTCCAATGGAAGCAAAGAGAGAGAGATTGATACTCAGATATAGTAATGTAAAATACTCTCATTTTACTAACAAAAAATTAAAACTCAGAGCACTGGTTGACTTAGCAAATGTCATCCATATATGTTGGGGAAAAGTGAATACTTGAACTGGTATGCTGACAAGACAGTGCTTTCCATTCGGATTTTCACATGTATGTCCCTGCAATATAACTTTGCCTATTTTTCAAGATATTTTCTAGCCCTTCTTTTAAGAGGTAAGTACAAGCTGGGCTCGGTGGCTCATGCCTGCAATCCCAGCACTTTGGGAGGCCGAGGCAGGTGGATCACCTGAGGTCAGGAGTTTGAGACCAGCCTGTCCAACATGGAGAAACCCCATCTCTACTAAAAATACAAAAATTAGCCGGGTGTGGTGGTGCATGTCTGTAATCCCAGTTACTCGGGACGCTGAGACAGGAGAATTGCTTGAACCCATGAGGTGGAGGTTACAGTGAGCCGAGATTGCGCCATTGCACTCCAGCCTGAGCAACAAGAGTGAAACTCCTTCTCAAAAAAAAAAAAAAAAAAAAGAGGTAGGACCAATTTCTTCTTTCTATGATATGATATATATTTCTTCTTGCTATAAGTTCTATGATTATATTATTTTTGCTTATGTATTATGAGATAATAAATTAAGATCTCAGTAATTTTAAATTTCTAGAATTTTATATTATTTTAGTCATTTTTGGGAATGACAGAATCTTTCACTCACATTTCTGCTTAATACCTTTAGTGGATGAAATAGCCATCCTCTTTCCACAGGCTGGGAGACACTTTTTTCCTTGTATTCTTCCTCTACTCGCTTCTGCAGTGGCGTGAGGGTATCTGAATAAACAGCCTAACACTCATCGTTGCTTATTCACTGGAGAGTGGGAAGAAACCCTAAATTAAAGGGAGGGACCCAGCTGAAATTTCCTCATTCTCTTTTCGCATTTTCTCACCTCATGCAGCAAGCACAAATGGTTAACCTTGCTCTCCACATACAGTCCTTCAGAATCCCATTCATTTATTTAGCTGCTCATGTAAGTGGACTTGCAGTGGACAGAAGAGTTCTCCTTCAGCATCAGGCCCAATTTCTCTCTCCAAAAAGTATCAAGAAAACATTTTAGGAGGTACGGGGAGAAGTACCATCTATATAAAGCTTTACTACCTTTCCCAGTTTGTTAAAGATGTTTAAATCCACATTATCAGTGAAATCACCAAAGAGGAGGAGATGTACGTTGTACCTCAACCCCACAGCAATATGATCCTGGCAGCAATAATGCAACATGGGTTTGCCAGACATTATTATAGTTTATATTTTGCTAATGAGGAAATGGAAATGATACAACTAATCAAAACATACCCAAGACTCAGACCCAGTCCTTCTCATTTAAAATCTGCCTCTTATCCCATATAGAAAAACATAATTATTAATTTTCATATTAAGCTTAGGAAATTTAAAAAGTACTAATTGGGTCTTAAATTTGCAAAGGTATCTTTCAAGTCTAAATTTTCATTCTGCTCATATGCATAAACTTCCACTATATATGTGTGTGTTTGTGTGTGTGTGAGTGTATATATATATGTATACACACTTCTCCTATCCTCATGTCCTTATGCAGTTTTCTTGGCTTGGAATGCTTTGCTTTATCTATTCAAGGTTCATTTTAAATTTTGGGATTTTTCTTTTTTTAATTTTAGTTTTTATTTTTTTTCTTGATTTCTTCTAAAATTAAAAACCAGGATACATGCGCAGAACGTGCAGGTTTGTTACACAGGTATATGCACGCCATGGTGGTTTGCTGCATCTATTGACCCATCCCATAAGTTCCCCTCCCCTCACCACCCAACCCCCACAGGCCCTGGTGTGTTGTTCCCCTCTATGTCCATGTGTTCTCAATGTTCAACTCCCACTTATGAGTGAGAACACGTGGTGTTTGGTTTTCTGTTTCTGTGTTAGCTTGCTGAGGATGATGTCTTCCAGCTTCATCCATATCCCTGCAAAGAACATGATCTCATTCCTTTTTATGGCTGCATAGTATTCCATGGTGTATATATATCACATTTTCTTTACTAAGCCTATCATTGATGGGTTGGGATGCCTATTGTAATCACATAAACATACATTAAGAACTAAATAACAAATCATTTATCTCACATGTATTCAAGATTTCATGATATTATGAATTTGAAGTAAAATATTAAGTTCTATACCACCCTTTTTATTATGTATAATCAGTATTAATAATACAAAATGAAGTCATAACTGTAAGTATTTTATATCTAACATCTTTCAAAGTAACTTTAAGATATGTAAAAAAAAGAATAAAAGTTCAATGCTCAGAAGCTGACACAGAATTTAAGACAGACTTAGATTTCACAGAGTAGTAATAATATCAGGTACTCAAAATCAAACATATGGAGTCCCAAGGAAATTTGTCTTGTCTCTTTAGATCACCACTTTCCTTTTCAGAGGCATAAACAATATCTCATTCATCTAGATTGCCAATATATTATACAAATACATTCTAAGATATTTTAGACATAAGAAATACACTAGTGTAAAATCCATATTGCAGTGTGATAAAGATTTGGTCAGAAGTCAATTTTTTTAAAGGTTGCACCAGAAAATAAGAATATATACACCATGCAATACTATGCAGCCATAAAAAGAATGATATTATGTCTTTGTTTTTTTTTTTTTTTTGATATGGAGTCTCGCTGTGTCGCCCAGGCTGGAGTACAGCAGCGTGATATTGGCTCACTGCAACCTCTGCCTCCCGGGTTCAAGTGAGTCTCCTGCCTCAAGCCTCCTGAGCAGCTGGGACCACAGGCATGTGCTACCACACCCGGCTAATTTTTGTATTTTCAGTAGAGATGGGGTTTCTCCACATTGGCCAGGCTGGTGTCTAATTCCCGACCTCAGGTGATCTGCCCACCTCGGCCTCCCAAAGTGCTGGGATTACAGGCGTGAGCCACCATGCCCGGCCAATATTATGTCTTTTGCAGAGACATAGATGGAGCTGGAAGTCATTACCCTTAGCAAACTAACACAGGAACAGAAAACCAAATACCACATTTTCCTGCTTATAAGTCGGGGCTAAATGATGAGAACACATGAACACACAAAGGAGAGCAACATGTGCTGTAGACTTTAAGAAGGTGAAGGGTGGGAAGAGGGAGAGGATTAGGAAAAATAACTAATGAATACTAGGATTATTACACGAGTGATGAAGTAATCTGTGCAACAAATCCCCATGACTCAAGTTTACCTGTGTAACAAACCTGCACTTGTACACTGGAACTTAAAAGTTAAAAAAAAGAAAGATTACTACTAAAAGCTGAGTCAAGGTAAAGTTGATTTTTTTTATTGTCGATTATTTTGGCTTATTTCTGATAGACAAGTTCTGAACTTGTTAGAAAATACAAAAGGCCACATATATAGGTGAAGTTGTAAGATGCTTGGCAGAGAAAATAACATTTGGTAGCACTGACCGTGTTTTTAAAGTTCTCAGTTTATGTCAAAAAATTTCAAGTGAATACCTCTAGAGCTTTTCTGTGTACTGCAACTGCTAGCTACATGTGGCTATTTGAGTTTAAATTAAATGAATCTAAAAATCCAATTGTTCAGTCCACTAGCCTCTTTTAATAGCCATATTGGCCTGGTGGATAACATAGCACAACGAAGATGTAAAATGTATCTTTCCTCACAAGAAGTTCCATTGGTCAACAGAAGTCTAGATAGAGAGATGAGTGAATATATGGAGTTTGGAATAAAGTATAGCTAGATAAAAAATACCTGCTACAGGCACAAAACCAAGTGTCCCTTTGGTATTCTACTTTGTACATGTGAGATATTCAGGCATCCCTGATAAAGAGGCCTCTGAAGACAGCTCCAGTTTATCCCTAGAAAAACCTTGTACTTTTGATGTGTTACATACAGAGGATACAATATCTTGCAACTTTATGAAATTCTTTCCTTGGATTCATTGCTTTGAGGATCTTTTTCATTGTCTTTGAGGTATTCTTACCATAAGAAGAATGAAAACTAAAACAAGCTTCAGGTGCTTTTTTGGGACTGGGCTGTCTGCATTGAAAAAGCATAGGTTTGGTTGTATTAGGACAATTTTTCTCCATAGAGTTTTTTTTCATACTCTTTTACTTAGCATTTATATTTTAATGTCTATGCAACTTAGGAAAAAACACAATGAATAAGTTGCCTAAAATAACTGGCAAAGTCAGAGAATATGATTGATTAGTGAATCATTTTGAAACAAAAGCAAGTTTAGTGTATAGGAGGGAGTTGGAATAAGGGAGATGACAGATAGCATTAATATTGTAGAAAAAAGAGGAAAGAGACACAATTTGCCATGTAATAGTTAAGATAATGATGATCTAGAAGGGAGATAAAATTCTGTCCTCTTAAAAAGTTTGAAGAATCTTATAATCAAAGACTCAGAAGAATCCTTGATATAGATGTTAACATCACCGAAGATGATTTCCAGGATCATGTAAAGAAAAAGCTTATACATCTCTATGTATACATCTTGACAGGGTCATACAAGACAATAGTAGATGGCTACGATAATTAAAAAGGGTGAGAGATGGCGGGGCGTGGTGGCTCACGCCTGTAATCCCAGCACTTTGGGAGGCCGAGGCGGGTGAATCACGAGGTAAAGAGATCGAGACCATCCTGGCCAACATGGTGAAACCCATCTCTACTAAATATACAAAAAATTAGCTTGGCGTGGTGGCGGGCACCTGTAGTCCCAGCTACTCGGGAGGCTGAGGCAGGAGAATGGCATGAACCCGGGAGGCGGAGCTTGCAGTGAGCCGAGATCACGCCACTGCACTCCAGCCTGGGTGACAGAGCGAAACTCTGTCTCAAAAAAAAAAAAAAAAAAAAAGGGTGAGAGACACAGGATATGAAGTTTAAATATTAATAAGGAAAGAGAAACACGGATTGATGATGTGGAATGGCACAGAGGAATAAGAACACAGTCAATGTTACAACTACTTTTAGTGGAAATCCAAGAGGAAAAAGGAAAAGCCCTCACAAAAAAAGCATCAGGGCCGAGTGTCTGAAAGAGAAATACATGCATATAGTATTTGCAGAAATAAGGGTAGATCAACATGGGTTACAGTGCAAACTATTGTACACAGAGAATAAGTGAAAGTAACTTTTTAATGAATGAAATAATAATTTGCATATAAAGAACTTATGCAAGTAAAGAGATGAGTTGATTTACATAGTGGTAGACGTGATGAGGGGTAATGATTGAAACACTTGATTAGGAACAAAATACATTCTGACATTTTAAGTCTAACTTACCCGACTGAAAAGAGAGGGTTTATTCTAAACTAGAATATGACCATCTGACTTAAATGATTATCTAATCTTCTGCCAGAGTTTAAAAAACTGTGTAAATTCAAATTGTCATCATGAGATAGGATGAACTCATTTACACAGCATGATATTTGCAAGCTAAAATTTTATTCAATCTTTGTGTCCCAGCTCAATTGTTTTCTCTTTAATAAGACTTGCTTTGATCCCTGTTCATGACTGGATTCATTTTGATATAAGGGGCATAGAACATCAAATTCTCCAAAGAAAAAAAGAAGACATAGAGAGGCAGACAGATGTCACAGAATTACAGAAATAAATGAAAAGCCAGACAGAGAAAGGGTAGGAATCAGGGTATTACTGAAAACAACAGGAAGAGACCATACAATATAACACCAGCATCTGAAATTAACATAAATCGACTGTACTCTACTTTTCTTCATCATTCTGTTTTACTTATTGATTCAGTTAACTGGGATAAATCTCAATTTATTTCCATGCAAAACCACAGGACACTGTCTAGTCAATGACTGATTTGACCATGTGTAAGAAGTAACTACACTGCACCATCCAGCATTGAATGGAGAAAGGAGATTATGAGGGACAGTGGTGCATTCATTGACACATTGTTCATTCATTTGAAACTCTTGAAAGAACAGATTATTTGAAAGAAGAGAAGAAGCAGAGCAGAAATTTCAAGAAAACTCTAAATTATCCCTGCCTAAAAGTTATCTTTCTTTTCTTTTTTCTTTTTGTTTTCTTTTGGTTGTTGTTTCAAAGACAAGGTCTTCCTTTGTTGACCAGGCTGGAGTGTAATAGTGTAATCCTAGCTCACTGCAGTCTCAAACTCCTGGGCTCCAATAATCCTCTCACATCAGCCTCAAGAGTGGTTAGAACTACAGGCATGTGCCACCATGCTCAGCCAATTTTTAATTTTTTATAGAGACGAGGTCTTCTTACATTATCCAGGTTGGTCTTGAACTCCTGGCCTCAAGCAATCTTTCCACTTGGCTTCCCAAACAGCTGAGATTAAAGACATAAGCCATCTTGCCTGGCCATGTTTCTTATCTGAAATGTAGTAGGACTTTATTTATACATACAGCAACTGATACACTTATCAAAGCTTCCCCCATTATAGTAATGAAAGCACATATCTGTCTTTATAAATGTACGTTCCTTGAGGTAAGGTCAATGATGTATCCTTTTAATGTCTTCCCCACTCTCCTTTGGTGACTTCTCATTTTTTAACCAATTGGTGAGTGGTTAAATATGTGACAGAAGACTCAGTCCTTTGCTTTTCTCTAAACACATTCACTCTCAATATGACCCCATATCTCCATGTCTTTAAATATAAAGCTGATGGTGCACATACCTCTTCTGTAAATTCAGCCTAACTATCTTTAAAAACCTTCAAAATTTCAGTTTAGATGTCAAGAAGCATCTCAAAGTTAACATGCCACTAACAGTTGGCTTAGAATCTTTTCTCCCCAATCTGTCTTGTTCTTTGGTATTTTCTGTTTCAGCAACTGATACCATCAGTTGACCCTGTGGCTAAAACCAAAAACCTATGATTCTATCATGACACCTTTCTTTTTCTAATACTGTGGTATAAATCCCAGTATTTAACCTATCAGAAAGTTCTATATTCAAAGTCATATTTTCAATCCAACCATTTTTCTCCACCTGCAATCCTAAATTTAAGCAAGATTGCCTGTTGTCTAGTCCAGTGGTCTTCTGTCTGCCCTCCTGAATTCTACTCTCCCCCTTTTCTGTCAATACCCAGAAAGTTGACAAACTGAGCCTCCAAAAAGTAGAAATCAGATTGGACTATGGACTGCTTTCTAAATATCTCTCAGACTTACCCTGGTTTATTATCTCTATATGATCAGGTTATTTGCCAATTTCTGACATTATCTCACTTTTTAATGTTCATATATCTATTACTTAAATATATTTTACAATATTTAACATATGATTAGGCTTATTTGGATGTAAACATTGAGCTGCATGTAAAAATGCTATTGTTTCACATTTTTAATATTCTCATGAATACATTTACCTCTTGTCATGTTATTAACATTTTGATGAGCTGTGCTTGATCACTGAGCAATTCCCACCTGTTAAAGATAATTTCTGTAGGAGAGAACACAGTCTGCTGTCCAGCAGTTACTTACACTTGTCTTCCCTTCTAAAATGAAATCTTTTGTTGTAGTCATATCTCAGTAACATGTTTCTTTTAATTTTATATATTAGTTCAATTGTTACTTGAAATTGATGGTAGGTAATGACAGAGATGCTAAAATTTTGGTCACAATATATTTCTTAAAATCTTTGGGCACCATCTACATTTATAAAATATTTTTGACATGCGACTTTTCTAAACATAACATTCACAATAGTAATGATGAAAAATCTGATAACCTTCAGGTTATAGTTTGAAAATTAATGGTGCAATGAACAGTTTCTGAGTAAGTATACCAGATTTTAAATAAATGTTGTATATTTATGAGAAGAATTTGGTGTCGGAAAATAAATACAACAGCTGCTTTTTAATGTTATGTAGAAATTATGATTCTAATCTGTTACATTTAATAGCACAATACATTTGAAAGAATGTACTACTAAGTATTCATGTTACTAAGCATTTTTGCACAATAAGCTTCACCAAAATAACTCACACTTTATGTTTTTGAAAATAGATTGGCATTTTTTTAGTGAGTTCCTTTCTTTCTCTAACATGTGCCACTGTCAAATAACCTTGGGCTTGGTTAGAGGAAAGATTTCCACTTTTGTTTCTTAACTCTTCAAGTTAGCCATCCATATCTCTGTACTACAGGTAAAACGTTTTTCCTCTGAGAAGTGACACATCAAGGGTAGACACCAGGGATTAATGCCCCCTTTGCTTAAATACTTTAGTGAGAGAATACAATCACCATTGCTAGAATAAACAGCAAATCTTACTACGTTAAGACTGCATTGTAAATGTTGGCACTATTGACAATAGAACTATCCATGTATAACTTTTGTGGTTATGGTATTAACATACTTTGTTTTACATGGGTAATAAATTTCATTTATTTATTAGGGAATATTGCACATATTCCTTAAAAATTCCAAGATAAATATTCATCACTATTTATAATCTAGGTCCAATAAAAACTTATTGTAAAATGTTATCATTTTAGGAATCTTTTCAGGGCTATTAAAATCAACCAAAGGTATTCAACAAATTGGGAAGTATTACTTATTTAAAATGACTCAACATTGAGTAAGAGCAGGAGCAGTCTGACATGTTATTACCTGGGTGAACTGCTATTTTCTACCCAGATCTATGGCATGGTACTTTAACTAGAACAGGCTGTCTGTAAAAATCAATAGCTTCATAAACAGAGGAATGTAACTTGATTTGAACATCTGATAGTTTAGTTTCCAAAATATATAAGAAACTCAATAGCAAAAAAAAAAATACCCTGATTAAAAATTAGAAAAAGGTGTACATAGACATTTCTCAAAAGAAAACATACAAATGGACAACAGGAATACTAAAGAATGTTCACTATCACTAAGCATCAAAGGAATGCAAATCAAAACCACAACGAGATATAATCTCACACCTGTTAAAACGGCTACTCTCAAAAAGACAAAAGGTAACAAGTATTGGAAAGAATATGGACTAAAGGGAATCTTTGCATACTGTTGGTGAGGATGTAAATTAGTATAGTCATTATGGAAAACAATATGGAGGTCCTTCATATAATAAGAATAGGATGAATGTAAATTCCAGCAATACCACTTGTGGATATATATTAAAAGAACTGAAGTCAGGACCTCAAAGAGTTACCTGCACTCACATGTTTATTGTAGCGTTATTCATAATAGCCAAGGTATGAAATCAATCTAAGTGCCCATCAAGGAATAAATGGATAAAGAAAATGTGAGACACATACACATACACACACACACTGGAATATTATTAGTGTTAAAAAGAAATAAATACTACTATTTGTCACAAGGTGGATGAACTTGAAGAACATTAGGCTAAGTGAAATAAGACAGTCACAGAAAGACAAATATGTTATGATCTCACTTATATGTGGAATCTAAAAAAGTTGAATTTACAAAAGCAGAGAATAGAGTGGTGGTTGCCAGGGGCTGGGAGTGGGAGTATTGCTGAGATGTGAGTCAAAGAGCACAAAGTTTCAGTTAGGCAGGATGAATAAGTTCTGGAGATCTAATGTATAGCAATGGTGACCATAGTTAATAACACTGAATTGTATATTTGAAATTTGCTAACAAATTAGATCTTAAATGTTCCCACAATACACACACACAAAGATACATGTAGAGTGATAGATACATCCATTCACTTGATTGTGTTAACCATTTTACAGTGTATACATAGATCAAAACATAGCATTGTACAGGTATTCCCCATTTTATTGTGCTTTGCTTTATTGCACTTCTCAGATATTGTGTGTTTTACATATTGAAGGTTTGTGACAATTCTGTGTATAACAAGACCATCAGCTCCATTGTTCCAACAGCATGTGCTCACTTCATGTCTCTGTCACATTTTAGTAATTCTCACCATATTTCAAACATTTTTGTTATTATCATATCTGTTACAGTAATCTGTGAGCAGTGATCTTTGATGTTACTATTTAATTGTTTTAAGGCACCACAAACCATGCCATGTAAGGTAGTGAATTAATTAATAAATGTTATATGTGTTCTGACTGCTCCATCACCTGGTTGTGTCTTTATCTGTCTTTCTCTCTTCAATTCTCCCTATTTCCTGAGAAAAATACAATATTAAATTTAAGCCAATTAATAATCCTACAATGGCTCCTAAGTGTTCAAGTGAAAACAAGAGTCACATGTCTCTCACTTTAAATTAAAAGCTAAAAATGATTACACTGAGTGAAGAAAGCATGTGAAGAAAACATGATTAAGCTTGGCGAGGAAGGCTGGGAAGGACAACATTTAGGCATCACATACCAAAGAGTTAGCCAAATTGTGAATAGAAAGAAAATTTTTTGAAGTAAATTAAAAGGGCTCTATCGGTGAACACACTAATAATAAGGAAATAAAATAGTCTTATTACTGATAGTAAAAAATGCTTTAGTGGTCTGGATAAATGATTCTGGAAACCATCCAGAACATTCCATTCAGCCAAGCCTAATCCAGAGCAAGGCACTAAGTTGCTTCAATTCTATGAAGGCTCAGAGAAGTTAGGAAGATGTGGAAGAAAAATGTGAAGCTGGCAAAGGTGGATCAGTGAGGTTCATGGAAAGCAGTTGTATCTACAGCATAAAATCCCAAGATGAAACAGCAAGTGCTGATGTAGAAGCTACAGCAAATTATCTGATGAATTAGTTAAGATAACTGATGGGAGATGAACCAATAGCTAGACTACCAAGAAATGAAGACAGAAGACCCAAATAAACAAAATCAGAAATGAAAAGAAGATATTACAAATGATGCCACAGACATACAAAGGATCATCAGAGACTTTTGTGAACAACTATATGCTGACAAACTGAAAAACCTAGAGGAAATGGGTAAATTTCTGGAAACATACAACCTACCAAGATTGAATCAGAAAGAAATAGAAAACCTGAAGAAGCCAAAAATAAGTAGCAAGGTTGAATCAGTAATAGAAAGTCTTGCAACAAAAACGACCCATGAGCAAGTGGATTCACAGCTGAATTCTACCCAAATGTACAAAGAACTGGTATACCAATCCTCCTGAAACTGTTCCAAAAACTGAATAAAAAGTATTTCTTCCTGTCATGGTTTTTGAGGCCAGTATCATCCTGATACCAAAACTAGACAAGGACACACACAAAAGAAAAATATAGGCCAATATCCCTGATGAACATTAACACAAAAATCAACAAAATACTATCAAATGGAGTCCAACAACACATCAAAAAGATAATACACCATGATCAAGTGGAATTTATACCAAGGATGCAAGAATGGTGCAATATATGCAAATCAACAAATATGATATATCTCATCAACAGAATGAAGGCCAAAAGCCACATAATTATCTCAATAAACACAAAGAAATAATGTAATAAAATTTGACATCCTTTCAAAACAAAAACTCTCAACAAACTTGACACAGAAGGGATATGCCTCAAAATAGTAAAGGTCATATACAACAAACCCACAACCAACATTATACTGAACAGAAAAAGATGAAAACATTCCAGCTAAAAACTGGAACAAGACAAAGATGCAAACTTTCACCTTTCCCATTCATCATAGTACTAAGTCCTAGCCAAAACAATTGGCAAGAGCAATAAATAAAATGCATACAAATTGGAAAAATAGGAAAGGAAGTTCAATTATCTTTATTCACTGATGATATAATTTTGTACCTAGAAAATCCTGAAGTTTCTGCCAAAAGACTCCTGAACCTAATCAACGACTTCAGTAAAGTTTCAGGATTCAAAATCTAGTTACAAAAATCAGTAGCATTTCTGTACATAAATAATATAGCTAAGAAAGAAATCAAGATGACAGTACCATTTACAACAACTACACTAAAGTAAAATACCCAGAAATAAATTTAACCAAGAAAGTGAAAGATCTCCACAAAGAAAACTGCAAAAACGGATGAATGAAATTGAAGATGACACAAATAGAAAAATATCCCATGCTCATAGATAAGAAGTATCAATATAATTAAGATGACCATACTGCCCAAAGCAATCTACAGATTCAATAAAATCCCCATCAAAATACCATAATTTTTCACAGAATTACAAAAAATTCTAAAATTTATATGGAAGCAAAAAGACCCCAATAACCAAAACAATATTAAGAAAAAGATCAAAACTGGCATCACGTTATCTGACTTCATAATATATTACAAAGCTATAGTAATCAACATAGTATGGTATTGGTAAAAAGATGCACAGACCAATTAAAAAGAATAAAGAACCCAGAAATAAAGTCATATATTTACACTCAACTGATCTTGACAAAGCTGACAAAAACTTACATTGGAGAAATAAACCCTTCTTTAATAAACAGTGATGAGAAAATTAGATAGTCACATGGAGAAGAATGAAACTGGACCCCTATCTCTTACCGTACACAAAAATCAATTCAAAATTGATAAACAACTTACATTTAAGACCAAAAACTATAAAACTACTAGAAGAAAAAACCTAGTGCAAACTATCATGGACCTTGGTCTAGGAAAGAATTTATGACCCAGACCCCAAAATCATAGGCAACAAAAACAAAATAGACAAATGGAACTATTTTAAGCCAAAAACCTTCTGCACAGCAAAGGAAACAATCAACAGAGTAAAGTGACAGCCTATTGAATGGAAGAAATATTTGCAAACTATTCATCCAATGGGAGACTAATATCCAGAATGTATGAGGAATTCAAACAACTCAACAGGAAAATATAAATAATCTCATTAAAAATTGGAGACAAGACATGAAATGGTATTTCTCAAAAGAATACATACAAATGGACAGCAGGTATATGAGAAAATTTTCAACATCAATGAAGAAACACAAATCAAAATTATAATGAGATGTGTTATTAATCCAGTCAGAATAACTATTGTAAAAAGGCAAAACAATAACAGATGTTGGTGTGGATGTGGAAAAAGAGAAACGCTTATACACTGTTCACATAAATATAAACTTGTACAGCCACTGTGGAACACAGCATGGAGATTTATCAAAAAACCTAAAGATAAAATTATTGTTCAATCCAGTAATCCCACTATTGGATATCTACCCAAAGGAAAATAAAGCAATATATCAAAGGACACCAGCACTCACATGTTTATTGCTGCACTATTCACAACAGCAAAGATATAGCATCAACCTATATGTTTGTCAATGGATGGATGAATAAAATGTGGTGTATATATACAGTGGAATACTTTTCAGCCATAAAAAAATGAAATCGTCATTTGCAGCAACACGGATGGATCTGGAGATCATTATCGTTAGTAAAATAAACAAGGCACAAAAATACAAATATGGCAAGTACTCACTAGT